>NC_000012.12:29985857-30138552 GCF_000001405.40 Homo sapiens
AATAAATAACATTTCATTGTTTGGAGGTACCACAGCTTATCTCTTCACCTATTGAAAGAGATTCCAGATGCTTCCATGTTTTGCCAATTACAAATAAAAGTGCTATAAACTTTTATAGCACATGCAGTTTGTGTGTGTGTGTGTAGACATCAGTTTTCAACTCCATTGGGCAAATCCCAAGGGCCACAATTGCTAGATTGCATAGTAAGTGTATGTTTAGTTTTGTAAACAAACAAACAAAACCCTGCTGTCTTGGTCCATTCTGTGGGTTGCTATAATAGAATACTTAAGGCTGGGTAAGTTTTTAAAGAAAAGGGGTTTCTTTGGCTCATGATTCTGATGGCTAGAAAGTCCAAGAGCATAGGACTGGCATCTGCTTGGCTTTTGGTGAGGGCTTCCTGCTGTCCCATACATGGCAGAGAGTGGAAAGGAAAGCAGGTGTGTGTAAAGAGACCAAACTCAAGAGACGACCTCACTTTAAAACAACCCATTCTCATAGGGATTAATTCATTCTTGTGAGAACTAATTCAGTCTTGTTACCTTCTTGGGTGAGGCATCTTAAGGTTTTTGGTCCAGTTTTAAAATTTGGTGTTTTTTTTTTTTTTATTGTTGGGTTTGCAAGAGTTCTTTGTGTATTTTGGATAGCTGTCCTTTATCAGAGGTCTTGTGCAAATATTTTTCCCAGTCTGTGGCTTCTCTTTTTATTCTCTTGAGAGTGTCTTTTGCAGGTCAGAAATTTTTAATTTTAATAAAGCCTAGCTTATTATTTTTTTCTTTCACAGATTGTGTCTTGGGTGTTGTGTCACTGCTGAAGCCTAAGTCATTTAGATATTTCTCCTATGTTACCTTCTAAAAGGTTTATAGTTTTCTGTTTTCAGTTAGGTCCGTGACTCACTTTGAATTAATTTTTGTGAAGGCTGTAAGTACTGTGTCTAGATTTCTTTTTTTGCATGTGGGTATCCAATGTTCTAGCATTATTGGTTGAAAAGACTATCTTCTCCATTCTATTACCTTTGTTTCTTTGTCAAGATTAGTTGGGTCTAGTTATGGGCTCTTTATTCTGTTCCATTGATCTAGTTGTTTATTACACTGTCTAATTACCGTAGTTTTATAATAAGCCTTGAAGTCAGATAGTGTCAGCCCTCCAACTTGGCTTTTCTTTTTCAGTATTGTGTTGGTTATTCTAAGTATTTTTGCCTTTTTTCCACAAAATTTAGAATCACTTTGTTGATATCCAAAAAATAACTTGCTGGAATTCTCACTGGGATTGCATTAAAATCTATAGATCAAGTTGGGTAGAATCGACATGTTGTCAATATTGTACCTTCCTATCCATGAATATGAAATATATCCTTCCATTTATAGTAATCCCCCATTATCCTTAAGGCATATGTTCTAGGAGCTCCATTGGGTGTCTGAAACCATGGATAGTACAAAACCATATGTATAAAGATGCTCTTAAACTTATAATACAGTTAAGTCATGATAAACTCATTGTAAGTTGAAAATATCGTAAGTCAAAATGCATCTAATACACCTAGCCTATGGAACATCATAACTTAGCCTAGACTAACTTATATGTGCTTAGAACATCAATTGGGCAAAGTCATCTATGACAAAGCCTATTTTATAATAAAATGTTGAATATCTCATGCAATTTACTGAATACTGCACTGAATGTGAAAACAGAATGGTTGTATGGATACTCGTAGTATGATTTCTACTAGATGCATATTGCTTTTGCACCATCTTAAAGTCAAAATATCATAAGTGTAACCATCATAAGTCAGGGACTGTTTTGTACTATGCTTTTTTCCTAACAATACATACTTATAATAAAATTTAATTTGTAAATTAGGCAAAGTAAGAGGTTAACAACTCATAAAAAATTGAAAAATTATAACAATAAACCATAATAAATATTAAGTGAAGGTGGTCTCTCTCTCTCTCAAAATATCTTATTGTACTGTAGTCATTTGTTTTTAGACTGTGGTTTACCACAGGTAACTGAGACTATAGAAAGTAAAATGATGGATAAGGGGGGGTCTACTGTATTTGAATATCTTTTGATTTCTTTCATCAGAATTTTGTAGTTTTCTTCACACAGATCTTGTACATATTTTATTATATTTACATCTAAGTATTCATTTTAGGGGTATCATAGATGTCATTGTGTTTTTATCTTCAAATTCCACTTGTTTGTTGCTGGTAAATAGGAAAGCAATTAACTTTTGTATATTAATGTTGTATCCTGCAACCTTGCTATAATTACTTTTGAGTTCCAGGAGTTTTTTTTTTTTTTTCAGTTCTTTCAGATTTCCTATATAGATAATTATGTCATCTGCAAACAAAGACAATTTGATTTCTTCCTCCTCAATATGTGCACCTTTTATTTTGTTTTTTGGTGCTATTGTATTAGCTAGTACTTTAGTAAGATATTGCAAAGCAGTGAAACAAAAACATCTTTGCCTTGTTTCTGCTTGTTTCTGATAGTATTAAATGCAGAAGAGGATTTACCCTGCTTCGTCTTGCTCACATTTGCATGATTCAAAAGCAAAGTTTATGTATCAAGTTGCTACAAGTTCAAAATTAAACACATTAATGATCTGAAACATTTTCAAGATGACTGCCATGAAAATTCAGTATTGTGATTGTGATGGTTAATACTGAGTGTCGACTTGATTGGACTGAAGGATGCAAAGTATTTATCCTGGGTGTGTCTGTGAGGATGTTGCCAAAGGAGATTAACATTTGAATCAGTGGGCTGGGAAAGGCAGACCTACCCTTAATCTAGGTGGGTACCACCTAATCAGCTGCCAGAGTGGCTAGAATATAAAGCAGGCAGACAAACATGAAAAGACTGGCCTGACCTAGCCTCCCAGCCTACATCTTTCTCCCGTGTTAGATGCTTCCTGCTCTCGAACATCAGACTCCAAGTTCTTCAGTTTTGGGATTCCTGGCTCTCCTTGCTCCTCAGCTTGCAGATGACCTACTGTGAGACCTTGTGATCATGTAAGTTAATACTTAATAAACTCTCCTTTATATATTTATCTATCCTATTAGTTCTGTCCGTCTAGAGAACACTGACTAATACAATGATGTAAATGGAGTACCCAAGAGCTTTACATTCAGTTGTGGATTAACGCAGTATCCAAATCTTTGCTTCCCCAATAAGTCATATCATGTTTTCTATACTGCCTCCAGGTGGAAAAATATGAGGAGAGTGTCAGAACTATTCATTTTTAATCAATATAAATATGCATATGGATTTTTAAAAAGTCTCACATTTCCAGCATGGCAATAAAGTACTATCTCATTTTATTTTAAATCTAATGTAACGAATCTGGTAGAATATTTTAATTGCTATAAAGTATTTCCATGTAAATTCTTCTCAAGCTGTGAGTGCCTACTGTATACTGAATTGTGTCATTAGTGATTTTTCAGAAAAATATCCTGAGAACTCACCATTTTTTTTGAGATAGGGTCTTGCTCTATTGCCCAGGCTGCAGTGCAGTGGCCTGATCATGGACCGAAGTGATCCTCTCACTTCAACCTCCCAAGTAGCTGGGACCAGAGGCATAAGCCACCATACCTGGCTAATTTTTAATTTTTTTTTATAGAGATGGGGTCTCCCTGTAGTGCCCAGGCTGATCTTAAACTCCTGGGCTCATGTGATCCTTGCACCTTGGCTTCCCAAACTGTTCATATTACAGGTGTGAGCCACCATGCATAGCCCCAAAACAACCACCTCCTGTTTACCTCCATGTATTCAACTGGATGTTACATTTTCATTTCTTAAGGAATAACTACAGAAATTTTTATATATAAATACAGAAAAACTAAAATACAAGATAAGTTGGCACATTTAATAACAGACTTAAATACTGAGCACAAACTTGAAGTGCAAGAACTATGCCACTTCCAAGGGCATATTCATTGTCAAGAAAGACAAACAAACAAAAAAACATGTCATATACTGGGAGGAGATGAGTGAAATACACAATGGTCTGAAAAGTATAAATGTGTATCATGCACTTATTTGAGGGCAGTGGTAGACTGTTTCCCTGTTCAAAACCTGGGCTTTCAGGAAATTACCATGGAAGTAGTGTACTTAGGCATTACAGGCAGAGTGGAACTTCTGAGCAAAAAAATAATGAAAACAGACAAAACCATAACAATTAGAAATTTGTTATTTTACATTACGCCTTTACTCATGGCTTTATGAACTTGCATTTGAAATGGTACTTTATCTCTATGAAAGCCATGACTTCCAAAATAAGTGAAAATGTGATTTATTAAATAAGCCTGTACTCAAAACCATGGAGAAGTTGTGCTCATTCGAACAGGCCTGCTACCTGCATATGAATAAAATGCCTTAGCTTGTAAATATAAGTTTCTTTGTATGTGCCAGAGATGCAGATAGAGCTCACACAGGGTTCTGTCATCTTACCTGAGGCATCTTCTCAGAACACGGCAGGGCCCAATTATAGATCTGACCCAATTATAGATCTGAGGGCACACAAGGGAAACGTAACTCTCCAATTATCAGGCCAATCTGGCTTTCCTAATTTAGGGTGCATTGGGCAGAAGACGCAACAGCACTGCTTCAGAGTTAGATCCTGCAGAGGATAATTATAAAAGTTTATCCTTCTAGGGGGAATTCCAGCATTAGGTAAACGCTTTCTTCTTTTCATGTCTATCTTTTCTAAAAGGGCAGCCTTTTTAATCATGGATATTTGATGAAATGGTCTCAGTTAATCAATGTCAGTACAATGAAACAAAGGATTAAGTTATTTTTAAAAATGAAAATAGCTTGTAATCACAACCTCCTCTGCAAAATAAAAAAAAAATTAGCTATAACATGCAGAATAGCTTTAGTCTCTGCTTTTATTAACTTGATTATTTCCTCAATTCAAGTTTCTTCCATTATTAGAATCAATTCAATGGTGAATATGAAGGTTCAAGGTCTCTCTCCACCTACATGTTTTTGCTTTCGTTTGCACAAATCTCAGGGTCTCCATGTTTAGAAAAAAAGCAAATGTATTCCAGACCTTGAGGCTGTGCAGGGGATTTGTGAATCATCTCAAGGACACAGTTATGGTGGGAGGTAAAGTAGGGCTTAAATGAGGTAATTATGACATGCCTGGCCTGGACAACAGTGTGAAGAGTACAGTTGTAAGTAATGAGAGAAGAGAGGAAAAGCTAAAGGCATCTGTGAGCCCTTCTTGAACAATTAGAAGGGGGACACGTCTGAAACCAGATGGTTTAGCCAAATTAATTTCATGCATTTCTCTGATCTGAAGTAATGGGTACAGTCATTCAATATATATGCAGGTCCCATTACGTGCCAAACACTAAGCTACATGCTGGGGACAGTCAGAGTTCTGTAACTGAACCCAGGATCAGCTGCGCTGTGCTCAAAAGTGAAAACCCGAGACAAAAGTTAGTGGGAGGAAAAGCAGGTTTATTTGGAAAGCCAAAACCTGAGAAGGTGGTGGACTAGTATCCTCAAGTACCATCTTAAGTCAGTGCAAATGTCGTGTTTATGAATTTTGTTGTTGTTGTTGTTAAGGGCGAGGGAGAGGAGGGGGTTGAGATCAAGAGGTGACCAATGACTGCAGACATCTGGGCACCAGTGGGGATCCAAGGAGGTTGGGAACTTCTTTGTCCTTTGTCAGGTCACAATGCTCCTATAAATCTTCAGCAAAACATAGTTAGTTGTTGACGTACTTCTCCTTTAATTTCAGAGTTAGATAGTTTTAAAAAGGACATGGTGTTTGCATAGTATCTCAGGGCTCTAAAATTATCCTAGCCTATATGCAGGAATGGGTAAAGGCCCCTTAAAAAATGGGGTTAGCTCTGTTAGATCTTTTGTTGTTTCACTGTTATAGTTTCTACCCTCAAAGAATTTACATGAGGACAGGAAATATGGGCAGTTAGAAAATGGCCTGTCAGGATGGGTGATCAAGGTCTTTGGGGAGCAGGGAATAGGATACCTCACCCAAACGTGGGGACAAGGCAAGTCTTTCAGGAGGCAGTGCCAGCCAAGCTGAGACTTGAAGAGGAGGTAGAAATTGGCCTCTAGGGGAGGAGCCTTTGGAGGGCGGAGAATGTCTATAGCAGAGGAGCCAGAGAGAAGATAGCATGAGGTGGTTGAGGGACTGGAAGAAATGGTGGATGGCTGTATCATAGGGGAAGGTCTGGAAGTGGAGCAGCCCAGAAAGGACCTTATGAGTCACATTAGAGAATTTGGGATTTATTTTGCAGGGTGGAGAGTCACTGGATGACGTTAAATAAATGAGTAAGACTTCTTGTATACCCTTCTAGAAAGGCAGCTGTGACTGCAGGTAGACATGGATCACAAGAAGACAAGACTGAAAATGACATCAGGCCTTATTTCAGGAATCTAGGAAAGAAAGGTAATGTCCAAAAGAATTACCACAATCTTAGTGGCTCAAGACAATGCAAGTTTATTATCACCTCATTCTGGTGGCCTGAAGTCAGTCAGCAGGGCTGTGTTCCTTTCTGGAGTCTGTAGAGAAGAATCTGCTTCCCGGCTGCTTCCAGGCTGTAGAGGCTGCTGCATTCCTTACCTCATGGCTCCCTTGGTCTTCAAAGCCAGCAGTGGCTGCCCACTGTTTCGCATAGTGCCTTCTCTCTGGTTCTGGCTCTTCTGCCTCCCTCTTCCCCATTTAAGGGTTCTTAGATGACATTGTGCCCACCTGGATAATCCAGGCTAATCTCCTTATCCTAAGGTCAGCTGATTAGCAACTTTAATTTCATCTTCAGCCTTAATTCCCCCTTGCCATGTAACAACATATTCACAGGTTGGGGATTAAGGTGTTGACATCTGTTGGGGGGCATTCTCCTGCCTCCCACAGTGAGATAGAGAAGTAGAAGATTCAGAAAGCAGGAGTAACAAACTTAGTGATAGATGATTTTTTGGAGAACACTCTGCCTGCTCGGTCAATTCAGTTTGTTCCTCTCTTCTTTCCTTCATTTACTCATTACTTAGAGGCTTGCACTATTTTTTCTTAAATAGGTGGCTGACCATTCTTTACAAGAGGGAAAATATAAAGAGATCAGAGCAGAAGTGACTTAAGGGAAAACCTGAGTAAATGACCAAGGTTTACCTCTAGAAATTGTTCTGGGATCTCCAACGCACCAACAAAGTTGTGATTCCTGTGTTTTAGTCATAGTCTTGGTGACTTTACTCTGAAACACTTTCAGGGAATCATTACCATTCACCTTTAATAGCTCTTTAGAAAAATCCCAGTAATTACCCATAAAATATCTAGTTTTAAACAACGTAACTCCCTGGTGATATGTCCAATATAAATTACCACATTTCCTCAATTCTAAATATATATTTTCCCACATTATAATGTTTCTAAAATCAGGATTGATGTGGACATTTAATATAGTCGGTGTTTTCTTTCTCTCTCTCTCTCTCTCTCTCTCTCTAAAGCTGTTTATAGCTGATGAGTTCTTACAATTAAGGGAATATGGTAATTGCGAAATGTACTTCTAGCTTTCCTGTTGTACTAGTTTATTAGTTATATAAGGGTTCTTTTTTG
Source organism: Homo sapiens (assembly GCF_000001405.40). Classification (NCBI taxonomy): domain Eukaryota; kingdom Metazoa; phylum Chordata; class Mammalia; order Primates; family Hominidae; genus Homo; species Homo sapiens. Next base: position 29,993,435 of record NC_000012.12, read on the forward strand.
TCAAGACTGAATATTATTTTAGAGGAATTGATCTAAAGACAGTTAAATATAAGCTGAATAATAGCCCCAAAAGATATGAGGTCTCCATCCATAGAACCTGTGACTATTACTTATATGTCAAAATCTTTGCAAATGTGATTAGGTTAAGGGGCTTGAGACAGAGAGATTATCCTGGACTCTCAGGGTGGGTCCTAAATGCAATCCCATGTATACTTATAAAAAAGATATTTGACACACATAGAGGAAAAGGTCATGTGAAACAGAACAGAGAGAGATTTGAAGATGCTGACTTTGAAGAGTGGAGTGATGTGGCTACTAGAAAAGGAATGCCAGCAGCCACCAGAAGATGAAAGAGGCAAGGAACAGATTCTCCCCTTGAACTTCCAGAGGGAGTATAGCTCTGCTGACACCTTGATTTTTGGCCCATTGATACTGATTTCAAACTTCTGATCCATAGGACTATGACGGAATAAGTTTCTGTTGTTTAAAGCCACCAAATGTGGGGTAATTTGTTACAGCACCCACGATAAACAAATACAGCAGCTTTTCTGACAGTAAGTGTGACGCAGAACATTCCTATCTTGTGATAATAAAACAATTCCATGGGGGCCTAGGAGACTTTTATGTTTAATCTTAGTTATGCAAATTACAGTTTTTTCCTTAAATAATTCAGCCATTACAGTGAACTTTGTGATTGTCTCTCTGGTAAATATTCCACTGCACCCCTCACCCTGCCATGATGTAATAGGCACAGAATCTGTACAGGGAAGTAAACTCCACCTGCAATTCTAGGGTGGGCTCTATCTATCCATTTATTTATTTATTTATTTATTTATTTAGAAACAGACTCTGTCACCCAGGCTGGAGTACAGTGGCATTATCTTGGCTCACTGCAACCTCTGACTTTTGGGTTCAAGTGATTCCTCCCAGGTAGCTGAGATTACAGGTGTGTGCTACCACACCAGGCTGATTTTTTTTTCTTTTTGTATGTGTATATTTTTTTTTTAGTAGATACAGGGTCTTGCCATGTTGGCCAGGCTGGTCTCAAACTCCTGGCCTCAAGTGATCCACCCACCTTGGCCTCCCAAAGTGCTGGGATTACAGGATGGGCCACTGCGCCTGGTCAGCTCTATCTATTATTTAATCTACCCATGTTAAACCCATTTCCCCAACCACAGTGCTTGTCTCGGTTATGGCAGACAATGTTAATAAGCAAATGAAATTCTCTTGGACATAGACGATGATATAGAAATATGATCCAAATCCTACTAATAAGTTATGAGATGTTTGAGAAAAATGGTTCCTCACCCTTTGCAAGAGTTGTTTTTTTTTTCTCACTGGATATGAACAAGGAAAAAGTTGATGGCATGGTAGGCAGAATGGAGAGATGCAAAGATATGGGTTCTGGATGACAATGTTGATATATTAGATTCTTTATTGAGTATCTATCATGGCATAAAAGCTGCTTCATACAGATTATATGATTATTTAATCCCTATAACAATGCTTTGAGGCATGTTACCAATCTTGAATCCTGTTACATAAACAAATGAGCTCCCTTTAGTATACATACAATACATACATTCACACTGATACACCTAGATACTTTTGTGTGGGGTAGGTGGGGAGGTATGCATCACTGCCTGAAGTCACCAAGCACTGAAATCACATTGTAGCATGAGCAGAAAAGTCCTCCTTGATTTTCTGCAGTACAAGCCTAATCAGTCCCCAACTCTGAATTAACCCAACTTTCTGCTTTCTCCTGGATTGTTTATATGGTTTGGATATTTGTCCCCTCCCAATTGTATGTTGAAATTTGATCCCAGCATTGGAGGTGGGGCCTGGTGGAAGGTATTTAAATCATAGGGGCAGGTCCCTCATTAATGGGTTGGTGCTTTTCTCATGGCAATGAGTGAGGTTCAATGAGTGAGGTTCATCTATTAGTTCATGAGAGAACTGATTGTTAAACAGAGTCTGGTGTCTTCTTCCTCTCCCTCTTTCCTTCTCTCTCTCCAAGTGATAGCTGCTCTCCTTCCCCTTCTGCCATGATTGGAAGCTTCCTGAGGTTTTCACCAGAATCAGAGGCCAGAACCATGCTTCTACAGTCTGCAGAACTGAGAACCCGAAAAACCTCTTTTCCTCATAAATTACCCAGCCTCATGTGTTTCCTTTATAGCAATATAAATGGACTAAGGCAGATATCAAATATTGTTAGTGAAAGCTATGTAACTGAATAATATGACACCCTATAACCCCATCGTTTTCCACTTCATTTTAGACATGAGTGCTGCTCAGTTATTCCTTCACTTGCTACTTGCCAGCTAGCATTCAATTCTCTAATATAATTCCAAACATTTATTGCTTTCCTCTATTGCCCCAACCCACCTGATTTTCCTGTTCTCAGCAGAAGACCTTGCTTATCATGTCATAGAGATGAAGGTGTCACTTGTGAACATCCTCAACAAATTCACCCATCCTCCTTTCTCACTCAGTCATGGGTTACAGCTGGGTTCAGCTGTTCAAGGTTCTCTAGCTCTAAATTAGTTCCCATGGTTGTCTATTAGCCCAAGCTCCGACATTCTGCAGGGACTGTGCACTAACAAGGGAATACTGAACTCATTAATAGCTCTTCCCCTCATTAAAATCTTGCTTTTCTCCTTGTATTCCATATTGCTGTGGTAATTGGAAATTAAGGAAAATGGAGGTAGGAATGAATGGGTGTAGGAGGCAAAGCATTGAAATAGCTAAATCAGAATTCTCTGTCTTGAAAGACTCAGGAAGTTATGGGAATTGTACTGATTTCTCCCTGACTGAATTAGGAAGGTGGAACTAACCTATCAACAAGGACAGCAACAGAGCCATGTCAGCTCCCTCATTTACATCTTACATAGTGGGGAATTATCATGGGTGGACTAAGAAGCCTATCATCTTTTACTGGTATAGAAACACTCCAGAGCACTATACAGGAAATACCCTAAGCTTTGCTAAGTGAATAAATAACAGGTTTTCAACCACTTTTCATTGAGGGTATCAAGATACAAGAAGGCAAGCATCACATATTTTATACAGTTCCCTAATTCAATAATCTTCCTTAGATTTTCCCTCTCCACAGCCCCCTGTCCACTGATTACCTTCCCCAGAATCATTGCCCAACTACTGTTCCTCCTCTTATTGCTGCTGCAGACATTAGCCTCAACATTCCTATGGCAGACAGTACGATCTTCCCCGATCTCCATCTGATGAAATCCTGCTCACCTCTCAAAGTCCAACCCAAATGTTATTTCTTCCATGAAAACTATGGTGACTTCCCTTTTCTGCTCATCTTATCAGAGAAGATTGGTCATCTTGGTCACCAGCCTAGTGCTCCTACTCCCAATTACATCCATACATGATTAGTCAGTACAGGCAAATCATTCTTATTCAGCTTTGCACTCTGGAAGTGGAGGGGCAGAGACATGATATCTTCGTCTTTATAGCTCCTCTTCCTAACACTGCTGTTGACACTATTATGTTGAAATGAGTGTTCTAAATATAAGAATACACATATATAGGCATATTCCCACAAAGGTTTGTAAGTTGTTCATAATTCTCAGGAAACACAGCAAGTATAGGTGCCGGGCATTGTTGTGTTGCAAAATTCCAAGAGGCAATGCAGTTTGAGTTAGGGAAGTTGTGAATGGGGAAAGACAGAGGTGCCACACACTGAGGCCTAAAGAAAAAGCACAACCCTTGCTACAGCCCTTTTGCTATCCCTTCAAGTCAGTCCTGAAATGACCTGGGAGAACAGTGCCAGACAGAGAAAGTTGCAAATTGGCTCATCTCCACTGTGGACTAGGAATGCAGTGAGCTGAGATACATACATGAAAAGGGCACAGAGATGATTACTTTTCAAAGGTACATAAAACACTTAAGTTGAATAATACACGAATATTTCAGTATCACTAAATTCCTCACTGCGTTAAAATCTGTCATCCATTCAGCAATAGATGGTTTTGAACTTATCATTCTCATATTTCCAAATTGGCAAATATAAAAAGGGTTCTGCATGTTTACTTCCTTGATTTTCTTTATTTTAATTTTTTAATATTAGACTTAAAAATGTTGTGGGTACATAGTAGGTGTATACATTTATGAAGTACATGAGATGTTTGATACAGGCATGCAATGTAAAATAAGCACATCATGGAGAATGGGGGTATTTGTCCCAGCAAGCATTTATCCTTCGAGTTACAAACAATCTAATTACCTTATTTTATTTTAAAATACACAAATAAGTTATTATTGACTATAGTCATGCTATTGTGCTATCATATAGTGCCCAGTTCTGCATCTTTGTTTAGACAAAACTTTGCTAGTCACAGCACAGATTGTGCTGATAGTGGACTATTGATAAGCTTTACTTGGAGAATCGAATATTGCCACCTTTCGTTATCACTTCCGACATGCCAAGCACTGTGCCAATCACTCATATAAATGCAAGTAGGATTGTCCTTGGACTCACAGGTAAGGAAAGGAAGGCTTTTCTCTAAGAGGTTGGATGATTTATTCAAGGCCACAATCCAGCAAGTGAGAGGCCAGGATATGAAACTCAATCTGATGAATGTTACAGCCCCTGCCCTTAATTACCAGGAAGAGCATAATGTTCTCTAATGAGGTGCAGGAGGTGCAGCCACCCAAATGCTGCCAGAGGTTGCTGCTGGCAGGAGGGGGATGTGAAGCTTTCCTCGAGTAGAGGAACTCCCCTTCTCCAGACCTTTCTCAAGTCTCACAGAAGCATGTGTTTCATTTTGTCCTGTTTCCTGTGGAATTTTCCATCAGCAAGGACACAGAAATAGGAGGTTAGAACTTTCTCTGTCTGCACCTCCATGCTGAGGCCATCATTCTTGAAGGCAACACAAGGGAGGTCTTTTGGTCATTTGCAGCTGCTTCAGCTTGAAGGGCCCTGTTTGCCTTTTCCTGGGTATCAAGCCTTGGGATTTGCACTTCCAAAAATGCCCCTCCTGCCATCTCTCATGGTCTTCAATCTCTAGTTTCACCTCTTTGAGGCTGTCCCCTTTGCTCCCATAGGTTCCCATCCTTACCCCAGTTAGAGTCCCTACACACCATATCCAAATCACTGGTTCACTGATTTCCCTCAGCGGAATGGAAGTTCCTTGGGGTCATGATCTCTGTCTTCTTCACTGTCCTATCTCTGACACCTAGCACAGCGCCTGGCACTTCGTGTGAGTTCAGCAAATAATATTTCCTTTATGAATGAATGATTATTTCGTATTAACTGTTATCAGCTATTGAGGATCTGAGGAAGGAAGGATCAGAACTGGTAGGTGTTATTTTATGGAATAGGGAGAGGATGGTCATCAGGGAAGATTCAGGACACAAACTGCTATTAACACTAAAATCAAGGAGGAGCATTGCATCAGGTTTGGGGAGTCATAGGGCTAGGTTAGTGCAGAAAATGAGGTATTCTCCATAGTCATAGGATACATGGTGCCTGTTGTGATGGGGAGGAGGCAGCATGAGAAGGAATGGAATAACAGAAATCAAGAAGAAAATACTAGAAACAAATTTTAAACATAAAGTATATATATTCTCTCTGTCTCCCTATATAGGTATATATATAATATATATGAAAATAATCATATGTATACGATTATTGGCTCATGTGATTAGGAGGCCAAGAAGTCCCATGATCTGCCATCTACAAATGGAGAAAGCTGGTGGTATAATTCAGTCCAGGTCTGAAGGGAGAACTGGGGTTGGTGGTGGAGGTGGGATGTGCTTGTGTAAATCTTGGAGTCCAAAGGTCCAAGAACCAGGAGCTCCAACGACCAAGGGCAGGAGAAGATGATGTCCCAGCTCAAGAAGAAAGAGAAAATTTGCCCTTCCTCTGCCTTTTTCTTATATTCAGGCCCTTGAATGACTGGATAATGCCCATGTACATTGTAGAGGGCCATCTGCTTTACTCAGTCCACAAGTTCAAATGCTAATATCTTCTGGAAACACCACAGATACACCCAGAAAAAATGTTTTGCCAGCTATCTGGACATCCCTTAGCTTAGTCAAGTTGACATGTAAAATTAACTACCAAATTAGTTAATTTAATGAGACCATGTTTCTTAGACCTTTTACAATAAGGTAAGAACGATGGCAGTTTATATGTGTCATGCCCTGCCCTATTCTAAGTACTTTTATACATTCTGTTATCTTTATAACTCTGTGAACTATGTACTATCATTTCCAAATTGCAGATTAAAAATGGAGCACAGAGAGGCTGAATTATTTGATTGAAGTCACACGCTGGTAAGTGGTAGAACTGCAATTCCAACCCAGGGAGTTTGATTCTAAGTCTGTTCCCTGGCGCAGACTGAGATAGTCACAGTGGGAAATATAAAAGTAGATAATTTTGAGAACTACATGGGAGGAAAGAGTTTGGAATTGCTGTTGGTTGGATTTGAGGGGGCAAAGTGAAAAGGGCAGGCAAGAGGGAAGGATAGTTAATAAGAAAGAGGAAAAAATGAAAATGTTTTATTTTTGTTTACCTGGTATTTTGAAGATTGGAGAAAAAACATTTTCAAATTCTGTCATCTTATTTTACTCCAAACAAACGTAAGGGAATATAAACTATGACTGTAACTGGCTGGATACAGCAGTCATCACTGATGCTAGGAGATAACAAAACTAGCTTCTTGCTAATAAAAAATAAAGCTCCTTTCAGCTATGATTATAAATATATACTTTTACTTACATTGGGCATAGGTTAGGTTGGAAAATGTCCTCCTTTCCCAAGCAAAATAAGTAATGAAGTTTAACATCTTTTACCTTTAAATAACATATGGATTAAACCTTGGCTCCTCTTTTTACTAGCTTTGTTAATTTGAACAAGTTAGTTGCCTTATTCTTCATGGGATTTCATAGGTTAAATTTACAATATGTAGAAATCATCAAGTACAATGCTCACACACAGTAATTGCCCCCATAAATGGTATCTATAATTAGCAATAGCCAGCTTGATGAAAGCCAAGTACTCTGTTCTTGTGGTCCTTGTAGTTCTTGCCAGTGGAAGCGCATCACTCACAAAGTTGAAGGGGGGCCTTGTGGCTGTCTCTCCTGAAAATGCATCAGACAGTGGGATTTTTTTGTGTGTGTTCAAAGAAGCTCATTTGAAAAGGCTGAAACTTTACCCAAACTTGGATTTTCTCCAACACAAAGGCTTATGCTAAGGTATTCAGTAAGATTGCATCTAGTATTGCCAAACAAAACCACTTCACATAATTAGAGAGGCCTTGGTGGAGCCTTATGTCCCAGGAATGGTTGAGTGGGTTTATAGTTTGAAACAGAAGAGAAACTGAAGTAGGGCTTCACCCAAAATATCATCTTCACCCAAACGGTTGACACTTCTGCTACTTTTTTGAAGTGGCTCATGAAAAAATTGGCAGGTAGCTCCTCAACATGCAAGTGGGTGGAATCACTGACATATAGTACTGCAAGCTATTGGGTTTTGTTCATCATGTCTAATTTGAGGTATACTCATCCTTCAAATTTTAATTCATGCTCACAAATAACCTTGAAGACTTGGTTGGACTTGCCTGCTCTTTCACAAACCCTGACCTTGCTTCATTTGTATCACCTGCTATCTCATTACCTGAAACGGACTCAGAGGTCTGTGCCCCAAATTTCCATCTCCCACAGGGCAGGAACACTGCCTCACCTGTTTTTGTATCTTAGTGGTTACTTCATAGAAGTAGTATTAATAGCTTCTATTCTTTTTTTATCATATAGCAGTTCCAAATATGATTTCATTTTATGTTTCTATGAGGTAGACACTACTATGACCCCAACTTACGTATGAGAAATGGAGGCACAGGTGGCTAAGCTAGAAAGGAAATTCAGGTCAGGTTATCCCACTCCAGTCCCTACATAAACCAATGCACTAGATTATACTTCACAGCCTGTGTGGATTAATCCTCACATTACTCTTCCTGAATAAAATAAGAGGGCTTGAGAGAGTAAGTTTACTTAAAGTCTCAGGACTTGGAATAAAAGAAAAAGATAGGTTTAGTTTCTAAAAATATTGATAACCTTGCTCTTCACATTATACAAAATTCTTTCATTTGCTCATAAGCAGCCTTTTGGGTTACACATTCTCTTTAATCACATTATATGTAATGGTTGGGTTTCTACAATCAACTTTGGACTTACTACATATTTCCATCACAAAGAACAGAACCATACTAGGTGCAACATTGATGAGATATCTTTGGATTATTGGCATCATCTATGGAAGATTTGAATAGCAATCATTAATCCTTGACATAAAATGTGGCTTGCCAACAATTCAGTCCCCAAGGCATGGCTGCTGTTAGACTGTGGGTACCTTTATTGAGACAAGAGTCTACCATGAGACAGAACTATCGTAAACTTTCTTTTAAAGGCAGCAACATGTAAAATATGAAAGAAAATCTTAAGCAGAGCCTTAAAAAGGTTGAAGTACTGAATGTCAGCATATCTATGTTTACTGAGTGAACTCGGTACTGGATAACCTGAGGGAATGAGGCCATTAGAGTCTTTGAGAACTGAATGGAGACCTACAGTGTGATAGAGACCAGACACAACCCATGGCAAAGGGCTGGGAGAGTCATCTTAGGTGATAGGCCCAGCTGAACCCCTATCACACTGCTTCTCCCACTGCATTCCTAAAGACTCCTTTCATAAAATCTCAACAGTCATTAAGAAATAGAGCTGGTATCTGACAATACATGGAAGGAGCTGCTTTTCCACCCACTTTAGAGAAATGGCTACATGTGACATAGAGCAGAAGATGATGAGGACAATAATGATGATGATGGTGGTGAGTGTTCACTGAGTTCTTACTATGTGTCACTTACTCGCTGGTTTAATTACTGTCACCCCAGCATTTGTAGGGTCTGGGGCAAGAGTAGAAATGGAGGTCACATGACCTATTTTGGTCTACTTCAAAATTATTCATCAAGATAAACAGTTATAAACTACGTTCTGTTTTCCTATTTGACAAATATTCCTTCATAAAAACCTGAAAGGCCATGAGTCTGGGAGTTATGCCTTCTCACCCTCCTGAAAGCTCTGTATAGGAGTGTGGGAGCACAGGAAAAGACAACCTCAGTTCACCTCTTTCTCTTCCCACTCACTCTGTGCAACTCTGCAAGGGGACATAAGTGTGTACAGGTCAACATCCAAGTCCACAAATCCAAACACCCTTGCTAACTGCTCCTCCTTCAGGAGGAGAGATGGTCGCACAGGCAGGGTAGTCAGCTGATATGGTCTGGCTCTGTGTCCCCACCCAGATCTCATCTGGAATTGTAATCTCAATTGTAATCCCCATGTGTTGGTGGAGGGACTCGTGTGAGGTGATTGGATCATGGGGGCGGTTCCCTCATGCTGTTTTTGTGATAGTGAGTGAGTTCTCATGAGATCCAACAGCTTTATAAGGGGCTCTTCCCCTTTCACTCTCACTCTGTCTCTCTTCTGACACCTTGTGAAGAAAGTGCCTGCTTCCCCTACCACCATGATTGTAAGTTTCCTGAGGCATCCCCAGCCATGCGGAACTGTAAGTCAATTAAACCTCTTTTCTTTATAAATTACGCAGTCTCAGATATATCTTTACAGCAGTGTGAAACAGACTAATACATCAGCCCTCAGGAAGCCAGATGCAAAAAAGAAGCCTGCAAAGGCTCTGAAGCAGATGTAAAGGCATTAGGGCAGGAAGCTAGAGTTCAGGTGCCCAGAACTCGTTCTAGAAGGAGTAACATGAACATGAACTGGAGGATGGGGCAAACAGTTTTTTGACACCTCTCCACATTTCCTAGATTTCTCACCTTGGAGGAAAGAACACTACTATGGGAAGGTAAAAATGGTTCCCTCTGAATTCCAGAGCCCAGGATGAAAACCTCATGCCCGGGTCTGAAGTATACTGGCTTTATATGAATCATCTAATTGAACATTTTACTGCTTTTAAAATCCCATGAAATCTCTACTGTTATTATCCTCTTACAGATGAGAAAACTGAGACATACAGGAGCTCAGTAACTTGCCTACTAGTGATGGCATCTGATAAGGGTAATCTGACACCAGAACATGTCCCATAATATGCTGTAACTTAAGAACACTGATATAAAATAAAAACTAGATAATTTCTTCAAAACCACTGCTGTGGTTAGAATGTGTCCCCAAAGTTTATGTGTAGGAAACTTAACCCACAGTGCAACAGCGTTGAGGGGTGGGACTTTTAAGAGGTGATTGGCTTATGAGGGCAGAGCCCTCATGAATGGGTTAATGTCATTATTGTGGGAGTGGGTTCATTATCATTAAGAGTAGGTGTGTTATAAAAGTGTGTACAACTCCCATCTTGTGCTCTCATGGTCTCTTGTCTTTCCACCTTCTGTCTTCTGTCAGCAAGAAGGCCCTCACCAGATGGCAGCACCTAGATATTAGACTTTCCAGCCACCAGAACTGAGAAATAAATTCTTTATAAATTACCCTATCTGTGGTATTCTATTATAGCAACACAAAATGGGCTAAGATAACCACTGAATTGAGATATTGTTTAAAGAAATCATAAGTCATATAAAATAATTTTTACTCAGATTTGAAAATATCTTGGCAAGTTTCACGTTGCTTAAAATCCTAAAATAAATCAGAGATTAAGTTGCTTCTCCAGTGCAAAAGATCTTTCAATGTCAAGTTCAATCCAGACCTCGTCAGTTCAAGGTATTTGGAGAAGCACTCTCTCTTCATCCTTAAGGGCAAGGCAAAGTAAGGCTTTCTTTAGAAAATAGAAATTCAAGTCAATAAGAAACAACGTGTTTTTCTGGGAGATGAAATCAGAGTTCAGCTGGTCCTGGTTATAAAGAAAATGCTAGGATGCTGACCAGAGCCTTCCATACACAGCACAAATGAACCACTAACATGCAAGAACCAAAAGACAAGCTCTGGTTGCCAAGTGTTTAGTTTTGCCCCATACTGTGAAGATGCATTTAAAATATATTTTCAAAGTATGTTTGAGAAACACCACTGCAGTCCGAGGGAGTGGAGTGATCCCTGGCACATAAACATAATCATTCATTTGCCAACTAATCGTACCTCTAATTTTGGATATGTTCTTATTGACAAGCTGCACAGAATACAGTACTTAAAATAAATAAAAATACTGTGCTTTCCTTTCTTAAACTTTTATGATGCACAGCCAAAGATGATGTATCAAAACAAGCAAATTAGCAACATTTGACTCTTCAAGTTAGAATAAAACAATTTTTAAGCCAAGTTTTAAAACCTGTCATTTTAAAACTTTGTGAGCATTTAATTACTGTGTAAATTGTACAAATACACTTCCATTAATTACTCTCAGATGTTTTTAAGTGATAAAAGAACACTACTTTCCATTTTAATTTATATAAACCACTTTCTAATTTCGGTTCAAGTATTTCAAATTTTTATGGTTTCGCTATGGCTTTCCTTTTTGATTTAATTACATGCAGCTAAAATATCCTTTTTTTCTACTAAAGAGTACTGGAATTCTACCTTTTTTCATGCTAAGAAGTTCACAATCTGCTGAGAGTACCTATAAATAGCATTAATGATATGAGACAGATACAGTACTACCATTTTATTGTTTAAAAAACAAATCAGTTAGGAACTGTTCCAGACTAAAGAGACACTTCAAATATATGCAATATTTGATCCCAGCCTGGATCCCGTACCAGAGTGATAAAAATGCTATAAAGGACATTAGTGAGTCAATTCATAGAATTAGAGTGCAAATGGCATGTTAAAATATCACATGTGTATATATATAAAGGAGAGATCAGGCACATGTGTGGGAGAGTTCAAATGATAAAGAAAATGGAGTTAAGTATTAGCAAGAGGTGAATCTGGGTAAGGGGTATATGGTTTTCATTTTACTATTTTTATTCTTGCAACTTTTTGATAAGTTGGAGATTATTTCTAATAAATAGTTTTCTAAAATGGCAGGTTATAAAATTTTTTTCTCAGCACTTTTTTCCCTGGAAAATTCTTTCGTGGATTCACAAGCTTAGTTATGTAACTGTAAATAAATGTTTAATATTTACTGCCCTTGGCTTATTACAGTCTTATTTGGTTCCAGCTGAGTCTAGGGAAACCTAAGAGCCTATGCGGCAGCAGGCTTAGCTGGAACATTGGAGAAGTCAAGGAGAAGTCGTGCTTGGGGAGAAAGAGGCCAGGCCTGGCTTCCCTCTCCCCCAGAACCTTTCCTCCCAGCACTAACCGTTGGAAGTGCTGAGTCTTACTGCACCGAGAGGCGGCAAGTGGTTTGCACTTTGTCAGTGCTACTACATGAATGAGTGAGTGAGCAAATAAAAGAACAACTGCAAGAACAATAACCAATCTTTTAAGTTATTTTATGTAAAATGTAGGCAATTGACTTTCACTTCTGGGAAAACAGAATAGACATACTTTTTCCTATTCCTACTGCTAAACACAACTAAAAAGCCCAGATATTATAAATAAAACAAATCTAAGAAGACTCTGAAAGGTGGTGAGATAAAGGCAGAATGACTAGGAATTTTGGGACTCAAGGAGTGACACAGTGGTGAGATCTCTGGCTTTTCTCTCTGCTTTATATATCCCAGATTTGGAAATAGGAAAGTCAGCAACTCAAAAATGCCAACAAGGATGAAAAAAAGAAAAAAATAAAAAGCCCAATGAAAGCCTGCTCTCTCTAGTTAAAGGACAAGGAAAGAGGCAGCCAGATAAAACAGAAAACTTTTAGCCATTGCTCTACTCTAGCCAAACACCACAGGAAAAAAAAAAAAAAAACTGGCCCACCACCCATGCCAACAAATGCCAAGTGGAGAGTCTAGACTTTAACCTTCTCTGGGCTGTTAGGAGCCGATTCAGTTTGCCCCCTACCTGACCTGCCTCCCATTGAGGTGGTATCAGAGAAGGCCAAATAGGGAGCTGGGACATTTATCCCCTCTGAGTGACAACAAATCCTGTTTTTCCCCTTACCTCCTATGTCAGTGGAGACCACATGCATGGGGAGGCTGGGCTTCTACCTCCACCCAGCAGTAATGAGGCATCTCTCCGTCTTCCCCCTGGGTGGAGTCAGGAGAGGCCTAATGGAGAGTCAAGAGTTTTCTCACCAACCAGTGGACATGAGGCAGCCCCGACTCATGTAGTGTCAGGCAGGCTACAGGGGAGCAGTAACCAGGCACTCTTTTTCCTCCCAGCTAGGAAAGTGTTAGTGGAGACCTAGTGGGGAGTCAGGAGTGCCACCTCTACCCAGCAGTAACGAGGAGCCTTCCACCATTACCGCATTGGGTATCAACAGAGGCCCACTAGTATATCTGGAATTCGAATCCTACCTGGCATTAACAAGATGGTGCCCCCACTTCCCTTGTCAGAGAGGTGTCAAAGGAAGACAGCTCAATCTGAAGGTTGAAATAAAATCCAGAGTCTTACAACATAATACCCCAAATATTCAGGTTCAATAAAAATTACAAATCAAATAAAGAACTGGGAAGATCTCAAAATGAGTGAAAACTGACAACTGACAGATGCCAACACTGAGATAACAGCGATGTCAGAAGTATCTGACTAAGATTTTGAAGGAACTATCATTAAAATGCTTCAGTGAGTAATTATAAACATGCTTCAAGGAAATGAAAAAATAGAAAGTTTCAGCAAAGCAATAGACAGTTTCAACAAGGAAATACAAGATGCAAATAAGAACCAAATAGAAATTTTGGAACTGAAAAATACAATAACTGACAGAAGAAACCTCACTGGATAGGTTTGAGGAATGGAGGGGACAGAGGGAAGAATCAGTGAACTGGAAGGTAGAAAAATAGAAATGACCAAATCTGAAGTTCAGAGGAAAACATAGACTGAAAAAGATGAACAGCCTCAAGGACCTGTTGGATTATTCCAAAACATTGAATATTCATGTCATTGGGTTCTGGAAGGAGAGGAGAAAGAAGGTGAAGCTAAAAAGGGATTTGAATAAATTATTGCTATAATATTTCCAAATTTGTCAAAAGACCTGAACCTATAGATTGAAGAAGCTGAGTAAATCCAAAACATGATAAAAACCAAAGAAATTCACACCAAGGCATATCAAAAACTTCAGAAAACTAAGACAAAGAAAAAAACTCTTGAAACCAGCCAGAGGGAAAATATGCATTACCTATAGGGAAAAACATAATTTGAATGCCCTTAGATTTTCCATCAGAATCTACGTAGGCCAGAAGGAAGCAGAAAAACATGTTTCAAGTGCTGAAAGAAAGTGCAGAAGGAAGTAGAAAAACATGTTTCAAGTACTGTCAACCTACAATTTTATATCCACTGAAAATATTGTTCAGGAATAAAGGGGAAATCAAGGCATTCTCAGAAGAAGGAAAACTAGGACAATTTGTCACCAGCAGATTTGCACTAAAAGTATGGCTCAAGGAAGTTTCCTAAACAAAGGAAATGATAGAAGAAGAAAATTTGGGACATAGGAAGAAAGAAAGAACATGGTAAGCAAAAATATGGTTAAATAAATAGACTTTCCACACTCTTCTTGAGTTTTCTAAGTTACACTGAAGCAAAAATTATAGCACTGTCTGATATGGTTCTAAATGTTTGCAGCTACAAGATCTATGAGTTCGCAGCATCTATGCAGAGGAAAGCAATGAATTGTCTGATGAACTTGAGAAAAGAAATAAAAAAAAACTTCAGAGGGAAAGACCAAACTAAAAGGAATACATAGAAAATGTAAATTTAGCCATACACATACACATACACATAGGTATATACAGATACAGAGGGTGATCCAGTGGACCTCAGAACAATGAAATTGTATACGAAGTCACTTAAGGATGTTTTCAATAGAATGGCTGTTTGACAAGCCTGAGCTACTTTTCCTGCCCAGGGAAGAACAAATGGCACTGTGAGATATCAGACAAAGCATCCTGCTCAAATCTTCTACCCGATTCCTGGGCTTCCTACTGTACCTATGACCTGCCCCTTTTAATCCGGGACTACTTAAGTCATTTCAGAAGGCTCAGTCTTGTACAGTTCCCAACAAATATGCCTTATACAGAGGATCATAGTCTAACTCAACACTCTAGATAGAGCACCACTCACTCTCTTGTGCAGTCTGACCCTGGTCTGGAGCCTCTGCTCAGTTAGTTATTAGGCATTAGGCTTCAGCCTGGTTGTGGAGTCCACCTCATGACCTTGTATGGACAGATAGACATCTAACCTGTTCTTGTGAACTGCAGCCTCTTTTGGTAAGCCACCTGTACTGTCCTCTCTAGAAGAGGGGCATCTGACATTGCTTGTATTGTCCTCCTCAGTGGCCAAAGCCCCATCTCCTCCTGAAACATATTCCTTGTTGCTGCTTGTCCATGTGAACGTCTAAGCATTGCCTGTTCCTGCTGCTTATAGGGACACCCCATAACCTCACAGTGGAGGCTCCACACCAAAGCTTCCTGACCACTGTCAGGCCCTCCAGAGAGCCTATCTTGTGGCAGATGGATTTCCTCTCTTTCCTGCCTCACCTCAGAGGAAGCATCGGATTCCAGATCCATGCCTTTCCCTTCTGAGTCCATCTGGCTTAATCTAATCAAACATAGGCAGACATGTCCAATGTATGCAGTGGGGAAATCCCACATATTCTCGACTATATTACTTTGTATAACACACATACAGACACACACAAACACACACAGATACACACACACATTGAACTTTGGAGATGGAAGGGGCCTTAGAAGTTAGACAAAGTGGTGGTTCCCAGAATTTTAGATTTTCCACATAAGTAGAATGAAGAAAAAAAAAAAAGAGGAAGGGCAAGGAGAGAAAAGGTATTTTGCCCTAACAAGGGACGTCAGATTTTACCATTATTTAATAAGAGAAAGGGCATTGTTAACAACGTAGGATAAACAATCTCAGAATGTAAAAATGACATAGATAAACTTTATAAAAAATTCACTATATTGTCTTTTTCTTCTTGTTTTCATATTTCACTTGGTCTCACACTCCTGAAAACTTTTTCATAGCCTAAAAATGTTACTCCAACCAGCAATGGGGAGTCACTGAGCAAGGCCAAGCCTCTTGTTTCATAGATGAGAAAATGATTCATTTATTCAGGATTACTAAACAACCAATGGCCTACTGGGGCGCACCGATTTCTAGTTCAACGTTTCTTTTACTACATTTGCTAAATTCGGTTTCTGATCATGATAATGATTTCCATTTTGGTGGTGATATCAGCAACAACTATATTTAATCTCAATTAACCATCTATCTCCTCCAAGGATTGTGAAGAATCAGGGGTTCACATTCATCATTTATAGAGGTCTCACCAGAAGAGGTCTTGCATTTCAAGTAACAAAAATAGTGTGACTTCAACAGTAACATCCCTGATTATGTATTGTAATAAATAGATACTGCAGCATTGTTTTTGTAGAGATTCTTATTTGGTAAAAATTTGCTCCTTAAATTGATTACCAAGGTTTGAAGATTTTCTCGTAACTAAGAATAACAGAGCTCACTCTTCAAATTTTTCCATGTCTCGTGTGCATGAATTTAAAAACTAAGCAGTCAAATGGCATCTCTTTCTAAGCTTATAGCTATTTTTAATTTTTCTCTTTCTCTAGCAATATTATCCAATTTCTACTCTCATATTCTGTGTTATTTTTGATTAATTCTATCTAGAGATGTTGTTTCAGTTTTTCTCATTCCAGTCTATTTTTCCATTCCTCTCAGCCATGTTTTCCCAAAGTAGCTTAGGAATTTGCTCTTTGGCACTGAAGTGAATAAATCACCCTTAATCTGGCATGTGAATGCATATCTGATCACATTCTATAATTTTACTTTGAGAACCCTCATCAACTATTTCTGCTTCATTAATCCTAAGAAATTTTGGACATTTAGCACAGTGTAATGTGGGTTTTATAAAAGACAAAAAGAGGCATAAATATGTAATCTTAGCATAAGAATAAGAGAACAAAGTTTTGGAAAGAATAATCCAAGCCACAAAGATTCCTGCCTGTTCAAACAGGACACTCATAATTCCTGCTCTTTTCTTTTTGGTTTTAGAAAGATACACACAACTCTTGATGAGAAACCAGTTTGCTCACTAGCAAACTTTGCCACACAAAACCAGACAACATGAGGTTTTGATCACAAGACTGTTGGAAGGATCAAGTTTTGATCACTTCACAGAGTTGAAAGAAATTAAATATTTTACTAAGTTTTACAATATAACTATACAGGTTAAGTGAACTATATAAATTAACTGGATAATTTCCAAATATAGTTTGGAGGTTAAGGAATTTGGCATTAAACAAAAATAAACATTCCAAGTAGGCTATGTAAGAGTGGTGGCACTAGGCAAGTTACTCGACTGATCAAAGCCACACTTTTCTCTTCAGTATTACCTACCTGATAGAACTGACCATAACAATGGCAATTATAATTAATGAGCATTTATGGAAACTTTACTATTCTAGACAGTGTGCTAAGTATTTTAACCCTCAAAACACCTCATTATGATGAGGCTTGAAGTCATTATCACAGCTGGTGAAGCTGGGGTTTGAATCTAGAACCTCTGACTGTAGAAGCCATGCTCAAAACACCCATTAAAATGGGTATTATTTGAGGTAATGAACATAAAGTGCTTAGTATTATATCTGACATTATAAGGGCTTAGAAAAAGTTTGTAGTTATTTTTAATATCAGAATTGTTTGAATTATACAAAAGAAAATTAATATAATAACATTTTAAGGGATATTATAGCTTATTACGTGTTCTGGTTAAGTGTTGACAACCTGACAGCCACTAGATTCCTTGAGGACATGCACTGAGTGCCATTTTCTTTCTTAGCCCCAAATTCTAGTACTGAGTGCCTATTTTAGAGTAGGTCTATAAATATAAGTTGAAATAAAAGTTTTCAGAATGGTCATAAATATTTAATGAAGTCCACATTTAATCTATCACAAGCATCGAAACTCCCAAAGAAAATCTGGGCATTAGCAGCTGGCCTAGAACAAAAGTCCCTGTCTCCTTTCGCCTGTATGTAATAAGGGTACAGCCCTCATTACTGGCAAGGGTTCCCAAAACTATTATTCTAAGACACATTTAAGATGCAAAGAACTTTGTCTTATTTTTGCCCTTATCAAATTGTATTGATTAAGTAACCATCTGTTTCCAAAATTGTAGTGAAGTCATATAAAACAAGGTAAGGGCTGACTGCTCCCTAAATAAAATCATTTGAATAAGACACTGAAAAGTCTCAAGGGAGTTGGAGTAATTGATTGTTAGGAAATAAAAAAGTTTTGATATCCATTTAATAAATGGATAAATTTGATAAATTTGAAAAAACTTGATAAATTTACGTTTTAAAAGTGTCTTAAATTTTTTTTTAAGAGGCAGGATCTCACTATACTGCCCGGGATGGACTTGAACCCCTAGGCTCAAGCAATTCTCCCACCTTAGCCTCCCAGGTAGCTGGGTTGAAATCCATTTCAAAGTAAAATATATGGTTTTGTCATTTCTAATTCCTAGTTCAACATCAGAATAAAAAATTATTTCTTCAAATTATTTTGGTTTATAGCACTCTCTTTCAGTAAATGTCATTCTGATATATCATTCATAAAGTAAATCATTACAGAGATTGTTTAGTCAAATGACCCCATTCCAGTTTGCTGACTGGAATGAAAGAGAAAATCAGGAATTAACAAGACAATTAAAATTTATTTACAAGGCACAAGGAACTTTTGTGTCTTGCTTATAATCATACAGCCGATTAATGGAAGAACCAATTTATCTCCTGATTTAGGAATTTTCTAGGCATCTGAAGAGGAACTCAGGATGATTGCAGGTTAATGAGACAAAAGACAAGCTTCAGAACAGTACAAATATTCCAAATCTAAGTGGCATTATGTAATCACCAATATCTGAACACTGTTGTAACTTTAAAACCTTATGTTTGTCAAGGCCAAATTGGCATGAGATTTTCCTTGTTTTTTTTTTTTTTTGGAAAAAAGAAAGATTAGTTAAAATGATACATAATCAAACACAATCATTTTATGCAAATCAACATAGACAACTACTTCAATTACATTTCAGAAAATGTACATGTCTGCTGAAAAACTTTGCAAAAACTTTTGCTGCTGAAAACCTACATGTACTCAAATCAATATTTCAAATTTGCTATAAATCTTTCAGTTGTGCACAAACCATTATAAATTAAAGTGAATGGGCTTGAATTTCATCTTGTACAACAGTCTGTGAGGCTGTTTTTAAAGCCATTGTAATAAAAACCTTAAATCCTTATAGACCTAATTTTTATATGCACAAAAGTTGTTCTCTCTGAACAAATAAATGATGGTGATGGACAGCAGATCTCATTAAAGAGGAAATCAAATGCAATAATTATGTAGGCATGTAAAAGACTCTCTTGGCCACCACAAACCTACCCGAAGAAGAGTTTGCTGACTGGAATGAAAGGGAAAACCAGGAATAACAAGTCAATTAAAATTTATTTATGCTCCAGTGTAGCAGATTGTATTTTCTAAAAATGGCACAGCAGTATTTCTGGTCCCATATGCTCCTTCTTGAATTTGAGTGGAGCTTTGTGCCTAAATGAATGGAAAGTGGCAGAACAGATTCTGCATCATTTTTAAGGCTGGGTCATAAAGGAGATAGGGCAGTTTGCCTGATCCCTTTCTCAGGATGCTTGCCATTTGAACTCAGCCATAACTGAGGAAGCGCGAGCCCCTGGAAGAGGCCACCTAGAGGTAATCGCGCTGACAGCTCCAGCCCAGCCCGACCTGTGAGTCAAGGAGCCCTGGAATGTTTCTAGTTCCCATCTTAGAACTGCCCTAGCTGACACCAAATGGGGCAGAGATGAGCTATCTCCACTGAGTCCAGCCTAAATTGCAAATTCAGGAGCAAAACAAATGTTGTCATCATAAGCCACTACTTTCATGGTTTGCCACTTGTTTATTGATAACCAGAACATCCAGGTTTTGAAAGGTACAGTCAGGAAGGAAAAATTAATTTTTATTTAATTCTTTATTGGCTTTCAACTGTCTCCACATTTTTAAATTTTCATTGAAGGGCAGGATAAGTAAAGACCAATGTAAACCTTCAGTGTGCTGGATTCAACAGAGAAAGCCCTCAAATGAAAGCCTGACACCTCAACATTCACATGTGGGACACAGACACAACATTACCATCCAAAAACATCAGATATTAGTATAATAGAGTCCCTAGGCTGAGCCTAAGTAAAACCCTAATCAAAGGAGACCCTACCTTCAACAGCCTCATTCTTTGCTTCCTGCTCCTTTCAGCCTCACTGTTCCCAAGGCACCTGGTTCTTCCTGGCAGCAAAACAGCTGGAAATTTGAGTCACACTAAGGCAGCGTGGAATATTTAAGCAGTCTTCTCAGATGACTTATGGGGGAAGAGGAGAAGCACAAGGAGAAGCAAAGCTGTATATAAAGAAAATTGATTATTAATGTTATTGGTTTAGGTGCCAGTCTGGGAGAGTGTTTGAGCTGGAGAGTTTGCTTGCCACCTGATATAGACTGAATAATTTTATACCCTTTAATTTCATAAGTTGAAATTCTAACCCCCAATGGGAAGGTATTAGGAAGTGGGGCCTTTGAGACATAGTAAGGTTTAGATGAGGCCATGAGGGTGGGACCCTCATGAATGGAATTAGTTTCCTTATAAAAGGGATCTCACAGAGCTCTCTCTCATTCTGTCTGCTGCGGAGGATACAACGAGAAGTCAGCAGCCTGCAGTCTGGAAAAGAGCCCTCATCAGAACCTGACCATGCTGGCACCCTGATCTTAGATTTCCAGCCTGTGAGAAATAAATTTCTGTTGTTTATAAGCCATCCAGTCTATGGTACTTAGTTACAGCAGTCCAAATGGACTAAGACAGCACCTCTCAATTATATCCATAAGTAGGAGCATACTAGGCAGAAGTCAGAATGTACAAAGACAGGAAGACATAAAATGCCACAGTGCATTTAGGGGCTATTCTGTATTTTTTCAGTGTAATGTGGCAAGAGAGGAATGGCAGAAAATTGAACTAGACATGTGGGCAGAAGAGAGAAAGTAAGGGTCTTGCGTTCCCTGCTGTGGAGTTAACCTTTCTGCAGTGGCCATTCAGAATCTGCCCAAGAGTCCCATTGCATAGGAAGAAAGTGCACAGATCAAGAGGCAGCAGGTCCAGAAGCAAGTCGTGGGTCTGTACTTTTTCTCTTCCTGTCTTTAGATGCCTACGGAGGCTCAGGGCTCAGTGGGGCTGAGTGATTGCAGAGACTCTTCAGCCCTGAAAGTCCGTGATCTGTTATGTTACGCCATCATGTGTGGCCATGATGAGACAAGGAGGGTGGAGATTTCAGTGTGAGCTGTGAGCTGTGGAGGCCACCAGTCTCCACTTTTTCTAGGGCACTGGCATGAAGATGCAGGGAGTGAATCTGTGTTTTTCTTTACTTTTAAAGCATTCAATTAAAGACCGTGACAAAATACCCAAATTCCATGAGGATAATTTTGGAAAATAATAATAGTCATGAATTCTTCTTTAACATCACATTCTACTTTTCACCACATTATTTTTCTTCCCTCCTCCCCAATTAGCCAAGTTGTTTTTAAAATATTTAAGATGATATTTCTTTAAGTTGCACATGCAACTGCCAAGTAAAGAATTGGAAAATTAGGCAAAAATATGTCACTGAGATATGTCTGCATATTCAAGGATAAGGAACACTGGGAGGAGAGCCCACTCTTGCTACTGGGATCAAACTTTGATCAAAAATTGGTTAAACATTTTTATATCTTATTTTGACAAAACCGTCTAAAAAATTACAGCTTATTTCAGCCAAATAAGTTCAGATGAAACTCAAACACACTGTGAGGGACCAGAAAGAAGGCATTTGTGGCATTTTCCAAAATAAACATAGTGCATTCATATCAGATAAAAGAGACCAATGGAAATGTACATATTCCTAATTACACTAAGAAGGGAAGAGATATGAGAATTAAAACAGCTAATGATACAGCCAACTTTGACACAGTATTTGTCTGCCCTTGATTAACCATGTGACTTTTAAATTTTTTAATACTTTATTACCTACATATTAACAAAGTTGATCATTGCTGACCTATTGTACCTCAAGTAAGCCTGTGAAAATAAATGGTGTGATATTCATAGATGCCCTGTAGTAGGTATTAGCGAGCTTGAATTTCATTTTCTAGCTCTGGCAAGTCTTTCTGAGCTGTAAGGAGGTAAATATTTTTTCTCAACACTCCTGTCAGGGTTTCCTAGGTGACTGAGGATAAGCCCAGAGAGTCGCTCAGACACCAGCAGCACAGCCACACATCTGGCCAGGCAACTCAGGGAAGAGCAGCAGGTTTTCTCAGGCTGTAAATCACTGCAGAGGAAGCCCAGCTTGGGGCTGAAGAGTCACCTGAAAGCACAGCTTGCAGAGCACAGGGCACATTGGGGAAACACACACAGAGACACAGACACAAGCAGACAGACACACAGACACATACACAGAGATATAAAATGTGTCTGCATATGTACACAAAGGTACACACACACACATACACATACATATGCACAATCCTCCTACACATACACAGACAATACAGACATGGACAATCAGACAGACACACACAGATGCGTACACACCCCACACATCTCCATTCATGTAAATGATGAAGGCAGACACAGATCCATGCACATGCCCACACATGTGCACAAAGATAGGCAAACAAACAGATGCACAGACTTATACTACCCCACACGTATATAGACAAGACAGACATGGACAGACACACGTACATATACATCCACACATGTACACAAAGACATATATGCACACAAACGTGCAAACCTGCACAGAGACAGAAACAGACACACAAAAATCCACATAGACACCCAGACCTACTCACTCTTCCCAGCCACAAGTCATGGCCTGCAGTGTGGGGTGCACGTACAAGAGAAGCAGCAGCCACCCTACCCCATACAACATGAACTTCATCCACTGCAGGCTGCTGCCTTCCCACAAAGGCAGAAAATAGGCCTCATAATATTAATTAATATTATTATTTCTAATACAACATGTTCTAACTCTAAACGGGATCCGGATGTATTTGGGGTGTGGGGTTATTTCTCACAGTTGTGCGCATAGCACAGTTATATTTCAGTCTTAAGAATTTATTTGGCAGCTCTAGGCTCTAGCTGTCTGCATCCAATTTATCCATCTTCCCGTGAGCTGATGACAGTAAAGCTTCTCCCTTCAGGCCCTGGATTAAGACACTTGCCAAGCTGACAACCAGTACGGCGAGTCTCTGCTTACTTAGACTCCCCACTGGATTTACTTCAAAGCCCACATATTCTGAAAATTCGTAATCTGTCCCACCAACATGTATTAGACACAGCGGTTCAGAAAAGGTTTGCCCAACAGGTATGAGGCAAAACCTCAACACACAGACAAGCCTGCAATTAGGGGGTCACAGCATGCCTCTCTTGGGTCTCCTCTCCTTTCTGCCTCTCTTCTCGCAGCAACGAAGATACTGCTTCTTTCCTCCTTGCCATCGATTACAATCCATAGAGTGAAACTCGGAGGATACAGATCTAAACAGCATATTTGAGTTTTTATGTTGTAGCAAGACAGTGGTGACTTTGAGCAAACAGGTCATGGAAGCTTTAGATCTTCCACTCGTCCTTTGAGACTCACCTTCCCTTATCCAGGAAAGCTTCCTTGACTACACTACTCCACACACACCTCCCTCTCCACCACCCACCTCTTCAAGGTATTTCCAGTACCCAGTACAAAATTCTATTGTTGGTCTTAACTCACTGCTTTCTATCGTTTATGTTGCTGTGTTTTCTGTTACTATGTAAGTTTCTTTGGGGCATGCACCATCTATTCAAATTTCTCATCTCAGGAGCAGGCACATACCTAATAGGTCCTCAATAACGATCGTCCTACCACATCAATAACAATGTGATATGCTAGGAAAAATCAGTGGCTCAGGTTGTACGTTTATCACCAGGATTTTCAGGCACTAGTGTGGCTCTCTGGAACTTCTCACTAAGGTTCTCTTCCATCTCTGTAATCCACTAACACACAGTAGATGTGACATGAGTTGAGGTGGCATCTTCTCAGGCTGAGTGCACAAGAGTGTCTCATAATAGTTTAACAGAATTGACACTTGCAGAAAATATTTTTCATCAGCGTAATGCATGTGCTGTTTGAAATTTTTTAATTGTATTCATAGTTCTTTGTTACTCCTTATTCCCTAATGACTATAATAACTTTTTTGCTTAGAGGAATCAACATGTCTAAGAGATATTTCTTGTTTTCATTAATCAAAACAAGCTTTTAAATAGAAAATGATAAGTATTTTTGATCAACTGAAACTCACCATACATCATCAGATTGTACAATTCTTTCTTGACATTCTTGAGAAATATGTTCATAAATCCAGTAACATGAGATTGAGCCATCAAATAGGATATTTGCTAGTTAAGTGACTCCTATTCATGAATCTTGCAGCCTGGCAATCTAAATTTATGCCAGGTACTTAAATTCTTATTTGATCCTCGCAGCAAAGTGATAGAAGTAAGTATTATTATCTACATTCAAAATTGCTATATGTCTTAGTTCTTTGGGTCCTATTAATTGAGTCAAGCAGAGGGCCAGGTTTATTTAAAAGATCACAAAACTTTTAATTCACTAACCTTATACTTGTTAATACCACCAATGAATTAGCCTTTACAATTTTGCAGATTTTATAATTTACAAATTTTACAATTTAGCTTTTCCAAAGGCCAAATTTCTTCTGCAAGAGGCACTACCACATGCAATAATGATCAGAAAGCTGAAGATAGATGAAAATTCAGAGTGTTCAAACAGTGATACTTTACATTGCTGTTCTTGGGGCCAGAAGCAGATCTCTATGTATCACCCTTTTGGTTTGGTCTTATTTTGTTTTAAATCAGTAGGATTAAAATTCTCAAAAACTAGGTCATGAGTTTAAACTCCTTACCTCTTGAAAATTACAATCAGTACATTTTATTATGCATAAATTATACCTCAATTAAAGATAGAACTGTTGATCTTCCAAGAGCAAAACATGACTTTTCTGGGTAAAGTAGGGTGGGATAGTGCAGCTATAAATTTTTTTTTACTACAAACATAAATAAACAAGTAATAGCTCTTTATAGAAATGTGAAATATATTCTGTTTATATGTTTTCGAACGTTCAAAGGGAAGCAAGATGCAGCCTTTTTCACTTCTCTAGAAAAGGCAAGATGGGAAAAGGACAGAGTGCAGCACTGAAACTCCACTCACAGGTTGAGTTAAGCAATTGCTAAGGAGAAGCAGGAGGACTTTAGTGAATTATAAACATGAATAAATCTTTTTCCAATTGGAAAGAAACCATTTCAGGGCTTTGTGGACATCAGGGGAGTATCTGATAACATGAAGTTACTTTATCGTCATTACATGTGGTTACAGTCAGAAATGGGGAAGCAAGCAGAGAACTCTGTGCATGTGCAAACGCACACACATGTGTGTTTTAAGAAGACAGAAAAAGGAGATGAAAGGAGGAGGTTGGCCTCAATGTCCTATCAGATCTCTTCCAAATTATAAATTCTATAAGTGCTATGAGGGTTAGACTCAGACAAGTCAAAGGGAAGAAACCAAACCCAACAATAAACAAACAAATAAAAACAAAACATCTAATAAGCTGCAACTGGTAGACAGTAAGAGAAAAACTATCATCTCACAATATAATTCTTATATGCCTTATACCTTCATGGTAAACTTACCGGGTAAGTAAAATTATTCCTACTTTAAACATATAGAAACTGCAGCTTAAGGAGATTAAATAATTTAGCCAAGTTTATCCAAACAGTGAGAGACAGTGCTGGTTTCCATTTGATGTTTGCGTGACTCCAAAGCCTGTCTTCTTCTCACAGCTTTCTGACTTTAGCCCCCAGAGCCATTCTCAAATATGGAAAGTAATTTCAGTCTGTCTACTGCTTGTCTGTTATGTAGCCAACATGCACTCTGCCAGCAGATGAGACACTGCAATGCAGGGGCTGCGAGGCAGACTGGATCATGGTGTTTTAGGAATGTCTCTATACTGTGTGTCTCTAACATGGAACATTATGGCTTTACTTTCCCAGCTGAATGCAGACATAGCAATGCTATAACCTAGCGAGATGCAACTATACTACATGTCAAGAATATGAGATCGTGGATATTAGTCATTTGTTGGATGCACAGTTTGCAAATATTTTCTCCTGTAGTTTGTTTACTCTGTTGTTAGTTTCTTTTGCTGTGCAGAAGCTCTTTAGTTTAATTAGGTTCATGCTCAACATCACTAATCATTAGAAAAATGCAATTTGAAACCATAATGAGATACCATCTCACACCAGTCAGAATGGCTATTACTAAAAAGTCAACAAAATAACAGATGTTGGCAAGGATGTGGAGAAAGGGAATGTAAATCAGTTTATCTCCTGTGGCAAGCAGCTGGAGATTCCTCAAAGAACTAAAAATAGAACTATCATTCAACCCAGCAATCCCATTACTGAGTATCTACCCAAGGGAAAATAAATTGTTCTACCAAAAAGACACCTGCATTTGTATGTTTATCACAGCACTATTCACAATAGCAAAATCATGGAATCAACCTAGGTGCCTATCAGCAATGGATTGTATAAAGACAATGTGGTACATATACACCATGGGATACTACACAGCCATAAAAAATAATAAAGTCAAGTCCTTTGGAGCAGCATGGATGTAGCTGGAGGCCATTCTCCTAAGTGAATTGACGCAGAAACAGAAAACCAAACACTGCACATTCTCACTCACACATGGAAGATAAACAATGGGTATACATGGACATAAGCAATATGACAGTAGGGATTCCAGAGAAGGCAAGTGTTGAAAAACTACCGATTGGGTACTGTATTAGTCTGTTCTCATATTGCTATAAAGAAATGCCTGATACTGGGTAATTTATAAAGAAAAGAGGTTTAATTGGTTCATGGTTCTGCAGGCCGTATAGGAAGCATGGCTGGGAGGCCTCAGGAAACTTACAGTGATGGTGGAAGGTGAAGGGGAAGCAGGCAAGTTTTATATGGCCAGAGCAGGAGGAAGAGAGAAGACGGGGGAGGTACCACAGACTTTTAAATAACCAGATCTTGTGAGAATTCTATCATGAGAACAGCACCAAACAGAGAAATCCACCCCTATGAACCAATTACCTACCACCAGGCCCCACCACCAACTTTGGTGATTACAATTTGAAATGAGATTTGGGCAGGGACACAAATCCAAACCATATCAAGAACTATGCTCATTATTTGGGTGATGGGCACAATAGGTGTCCAGATCTTAGCACTCAGAATTATGTAATGTATCTATGTTACAAACCTGCACATGCACCCCTTGAATCTAAAAACAAAACAAAACAAAACAAAAGAATATGAGGTGTTTACCAATTAGCCTGTCCCATTAATTTACAGGATTATGTTAGCACTCAGCATCTGGAATAACAGGCACAGGCATGTGTCTGCAGCCTTAATATTTTACCTTAGGAATAAAAACAATTATATAAGAATATTCTTCTCTTTTTATTTATCTTAACATACATAATGCAAATATTCTGTTGAAATTGCTCTTCTCAATAAGAAAAGCTAGAGAAGGCTGGAGAACATGTACATTCCAGTAACCACAGAGGCTCTAGGAACAAACAGCATGGTTGGAAATCAGCCAGGCGGGATAAAGGTCTTCCTAAACATTGAATCCATACAAACTCCATTACTTGTCATCACAACTACAATGTTTCCCTTTAGTACACAATTCTTCACTCCATAAAGTTTTTTTGTTAATTTCTCAGTAATACCTTATGATAATCTTCTCATGATCTCTCAATCTTGTAACATATTTGTTACAGGGTATTATACTTTTCACTAGAATCACATAACGTTTGCTTTAGGATTCTGACTTTGCTCAAATTAAGTAAGCAAGCCTTGGGCCAATTATTCTACTACTAATAAATAGAAAGTGCATCCATTTATTTGCTCACTGAACAAATATTTTCCAAAATCTAGTCTATGCAAATCCCTCTCCTGGCACCAGGGATACATTGGTGAACAAAACAAAGTCCATGGACTTTACATGATACAGGGGAGCTAGACAACAAATAAATTCACACATGCACAATAAAATGTCAGATAGCTGTAAGTGTCATGACAGAATAGCAATCCAGAAAAAGCTATGTGGGATGACAGAAAGTGCTATTTTAGGCAGTAGTTAGAGAAAGCTTCTCTGAAAAGATCATTCAAGTATAGATCTAGATTAAAATATAGGAATAACCAAACAATTATAAGGGGAAGAGGGAAGAGCATTTCAGACAGAAGAAACAACAACTGCAAAGATCTGAGGTCTGTTGCTAGATGGCATTTTGGCTGACTCTCTGCTATGATTATAGAAAATAAAATCATCTATCAGACCTCTAATCCAAAGTCAATATGAAGCTTCATTTTCCCACAGTAGATAATGTACATATACAGAGGCAAATATGAACACATACAATTATTATAGTGTTGCAGTTTGAGGGACTCCAGCACAAGGTAGTGTATTCATCAAAACTCTCCAGAGAAACAGAGCCAACAGGATGTGTACATATATAGAAAGGGATTTATTATAAGGAATTGGCTCATGGGATTACGGAGGTTGACAAGTCCAAATCTGCAGTGTGGGCTGGCAGGCTGGAGACTCAGGGAAGCCTATAGCGTACATGAGGTCCAAAGGCAGTCAGCTGGAGAATTCCTCCTTGCTCAAGGAGACTAATTTTTGTTCTCTTTAGGTTTTCAACTGTTTGAATGAGAACACACACACACACACTATGATGGAGAATCTACTTTACTCAGTGTTCACTGATTTAACTGTTACTCTTATCCAAGAACATCCTACGAGTTGACACACAAAATTAATCATCACAGGCAG
Source organism: Homo sapiens (assembly GCF_000001405.40). Lineage (NCBI taxonomy): Eukaryota > Metazoa > Chordata > Mammalia > Primates > Hominidae > Homo > Homo sapiens. Next base: position 30,022,492 of record NC_000012.12, read on the forward strand.
TATGGCTTCTGGGGCAACAGGAGGGGAATGTGTGCTGAGACCAGGCAGTAAATGCCGGGTATTCATTCACTCAGGCAGGTGGAATTGGGAAGTCTAAATGGTGGTATTGGTCTAAGAGAGATATGTTCACATGTGGCAGGAGCAAAGACAGCTGGGTACACTAAGCATCGAGCAGGAGATGGGATGAAATACCAGGACCCCTGTCACATCCACATGCCAGGCCTGTGCTCAGAGCCAATCCAGAGCTCAGTGGGAGGAGGAAGGTGCACTACAATTGAGGAGCCGCTTAGAGACCCAGGCCTTACATCTTGTTCAACACACCTCAGTCTGGTTGGCAGCAAAGGAGATGATGATGGTCAGGCAAGTCCTAAACCATGAAATCGTAGGTTCAGAATGCTTAAATTTGCAAGTGGAGCCATTGGTGAAGTTAGATTTGATTAAATGGAGAAAACAGGGGTAGAGAAAATGAAGAGAGCTAATGTACATCTGTGCAAATTAGACGCATTCATTAATAGTTTTGTTCCTATGAAAATGTATATGCCTGGCACAAGTAGCCTTCTGTCATTACTTAGTACTGCTCAGGAAAATATTTGTCCACCAAAATCTTCTGGGTCACTCTCACTTGAGTCATTCATTTGTCACTAAATTTCGACACATAGAAAATGTCTTTATTCTACCAGCTAAAATCAACAAACGACAGAGACTAAAATTCTAGTTTTATTCACTTGGTGAAGATACTAGTAATTTGGAGCAATGTTTCCTTAAGGCAGATAAGAATTCAGCAAGCTTTATTCAACAAACTTGCAGAGAAATTTCTGGTTTACTTCCAGGACACATTGTATGAAAGAAACAATAAATCTGCTAAGCATCTATCTTAGCTGCTCAGAAAAATGTGGGAGATTTATTTGTATAACTGAGCTTTGCAGGGAACTACTATTAATAGTGTAGTTGATTCCTATTATGAATCAAAGTATTATCCAAAAGTAAAGTATCTCGTAAATCAAAATATAGTGTATCTCTTTGGACAAGATCTACTTTCCTACTTCTAAGTACATGGTGATAAAGTATGATGGATTGCTTAGGTGCTTAAGAAGTAGTTAAAAAGCTATTTTCAAAATAAACTCACTTGAATGAATAGTCTCTCCACTTTTAATTGTGCCCTCAAATACCTGCATTCTAATGCTTAGACAGGAAATGTTAACAGACTAATAAAATAAAGAAAAGATCCTGTGTTTTAAAATGTCTCAAATACAATCATGTGCCACATAATGGGACTTTAGTAAGTGACAGACCACATGTATGATGGTGCTCCCTCAAGATTATAATACTGTATTTTTACTGTATCTTTCTCATGTTTATACATGTTTAAATAAGCAAATACCATTGTGTTAAAATGGCCTACAGGATTCAGTGCAGTAACATGCAGTGCAGGTGTGTAGCCTAGGAGCAATAGGCTCTACTATAATATTAGTCTATTTTCATACTGCTATGAAGAAATACCTGAGACTGGGTAATTTATAAAGAAAAAGAAGTTTAATGGACTCACAGTTCCACATGGCTGGGGAGGCCTCACAATCATGGTGGAAGGAGAAGGAGGAGCAAAGACACATCTTACATGGTGGCAGGCAAAAGAGTGTGTGCAGGAGAGCTGTCCTTTATAAAACCATCAGATCTTGTGAGACTTATCCACTATCATGGGAATAGCATGGGAAAAATCTGCCCCCATGATTCAATTAACTCCCACAACATGTGGGAATTATGAGAGCTACAACTCAAGGTGAGATTTGGGTGGGGACATAGCCAAACCATATCATTCTGCCCCTGGCCCCTCCCAAATCTCATGTCCTCACATTTTGAAACCAATCATGCCTTCCCAACAGTCCCCCAAGTCTTAATTCATTCCAGCATTCACCCGCCTATGAGCCTGTAAAATCAAAAGCAAGCTAATTACTTCCTAGATACAATGGGGGTACAGGCATTGGGTAAATACACCCATTCCAATAGAAAGAAATTGGATTGGCCAAAATGATGGGGGAACAGGCCCCATGCAAGTCTGAAATCCAATAGGACAGTCATTAAACCATAAAGATTCAAAATGATCTCCTTTGACTCCATGTCTCACATCCAGGTCACAACGATGCAAGAGGTGGGCTTCCACAGCCATGGGCAGCTCCATCTCTGTGGCTTTACTGGGTACAGCCCCGCTCCTGGCTGTTTTCATGAGCTGGCATTGAGTGTCTGTGGCTTTTCCAGCTGCATGTTGTAACCTGTCAATGGATCTACAATTTTGGGGTCTGGAGGACAGTGGCCTTCTTCTCACAGCTCTACTAGGCAGTGCCCCAGTGGGGACTCTATGTGAGGTCTCTGACCCCACATTTCCCTTCTGCACTGCCCTAGCAGAAATTCTCCATGAGGGCTTCACCTCTGCAGCAAACTTCTGGCTGGACATTGAGGCATTTCCATACATCCTCTGAAATCTATGTGAATGTTCCCAAACCTGAATTCTTGCCTTCTGTGAACCAGCAGGCCCAACACCATGTGTAAGCCACCAAGGCTTGGGCCTTGCACCCTCTGAAATAATGGCCCAAGCTGTACCTTGGCCCCTTTTAGCCACTGCTGGAGATGAAGCAGCTGGGATGCAGAACACCACATCACAAGGCTGCAAAGAGCAGGGGGGCACAGGGTCCAGCCCAGGAAACCATTCTTTTTCTCCTAGGCTTCCAGGCCTATGATGGGAGGGTCTACCATAAAGGTCTCTGAGAGGCCCTGGGAACATTTTCCGCGTTGTCTTGGCAATTAACATTTGGCTCCTCTTTACTTATGCAAATTTCTGCAGCAAGCTTGAATTTCTCCCCAGGAAATGGGGTTTTCTTTTCTGTTGCATCAGCAGCCTGCAAATTTTCCAAACTTTTATGCACTGCTTCCTCTTGAATGCTTTGCTGCTTAGAAAACTTTCCCCCCAGATACCTTAAATCATCTCTCTCAAGTGTAAAGTTCCACAGATTTCCAGGGTGGGGGCAAAGTGCCACCAGTCTCTTTGTGGAGCAAGAGTGACCTTTGTTCCAGTTCCCAACAAGTTCCACATCTCCATCTGAAATCACCTCAGCCTGGACCTTACTGTTCATATCACTATCAGCATTTTGGTCAAAGTCATTCAATAAGCCTCTAGGAAATTCCAAACTTTCCCACATCTTCCTGTCTTCTTCTGAGCCCTCCAAACTTCTCCAACCTCTGCCTGTTACTTAGTTCCAAAGTTGCTTCCACATTTTTGGGTATCTTAATAGCAGTACCCCATTCTACTGGTACCAGTTTACTGTATTAGTCCATTTTCATACTGTTATGTAGAAATAGCTGAGACTAGGTAATTTATAAAGAAAAAGAGGTTTAATTGATTCACACTTCCACATGGCTGGGGAGGCCTCACAATCATGGTAGAAGTCAAAGGGGGAGCAAAGGCATGTCTTACATGGTGACAGGCAAGAGAGCCTGTGCAGGGGAACTGCCCTTTATAAAACTATCAGATCTTGTGAGATTTATTCACTATCACAAGAACAACACTGGAAAAACCTGCCCCCATGATTCAGTTACCTCCCACTGGGTCCGTCCCATGACACTTGGGGATTATGGGAGCTACAGTTCAAGATGAAACTTAGTGGGGGACACAGCCAAACCATATTAACTATATAGCCTGGGTGTGTAGTAAGCTCTCTACTACCTAGGTTTGTGTAAGTCCGCTCTATGATGATAGCACAAGGACAAAATCACCTAACAACATATTCCTTAGAACATATTCTTGTCATTAAGCCACACATGACTGTATCTTTATTTTTCTGAATTCAGACATCCATACACCTATTTTCACTGTTTCATGACATTAAAAATGCATCTTTAAAAGGACTGCCTTTTATCAACTTACATCTCTTAAACATATATAAAAAAGAAGTTTTTCACAATTCATATGAGTCTTAAAATTGTATTAAAGAGTGAACACCTAACACATTAATTACTAGTTGACAGTTATTTCTTTCCTAGAAAATCCCTCTAAGAACTTTAAGAGTTTCAGACGCAGGAAAAAATAGGGTAAGACTGTTTCTCCCACAACTCTCGGCATTCAATTATTTCTACATAAAGATATTTAGTACATAGTGAAGACCTAAATCTATAGGAGTGAGAAGAATGACCCAAATCATCCAAAAAAAAAAAAAAAAAAAAAGACTGTAGTGAACTGGAATAGACAGGAAATCCCCAGCATTCCTTCCAATGAGTCACTTTTTAATATAGAATACCAAAGTTCTCCTGTTGTGAACCAAGATAAGCCAATTTGACCATCTGCAAAAGGCCAATGCCTTTGTGAAACCTGTAGCCTCTGGCCATGAGTCAGTTGAGATATAAGAATGAAAGAAAGTCTTAGACAAAATTCTGCTGGAATGGAAACATTTATTAGCAAGTAGATACAAAAAGTCCTATACCACCTGCTTTTGTAAGCTCAAGAGCAAGCTCTTGTAAGCTCTTGTCAGCCTGCTCTGCCTTCAGGCTCTCTTACAAGAATCTTGAATGACAGATTCACTCTGAGATTGTCCAGTACTCTGAGGCAGTACCAGCTCGCCTTCTAGTCAAATCTGAGCTCCAGCTCTATATCTATAAGGCTGCTGGGCCTTTCTCTTTTAAGGGCTATGGTGCCGGTACACTCTTGCCAGTCAATTGCTTGGTTTGCCCAGTACTTATTTCAATAATATAAGATTATTTTCTAACAACCTTCCTACTGAGGAACATACTCTGGGATGGATTGGAAGTGCTCGTGTAGACTCTGTGATGATTAATTTCATGTGTCATTTCGGCTAGCCTATGCTGTCCAGTGGTTTGGTCAAATGCCTGTCTAGATGTTACTGTGAAGTTATTTTTTAGATGTGATTAACATTTATAATTAGTAGACTTTAAAGAAGATTACCCTCCATAAAGTAGGTTTGCCTCATCCAATCAATTGAAGACCTTAATAGCGAAGACTAAAGTTTCCTGAGGAAGAAGTAATTCTGCCTCAACCCTGCAACATAGAGTCCCTCCTTGTCTGAATTTCCAGTCTGTCCTAAAAATTTCAAACTTGCCAGCTCCTAAAATCATGTGAGCCAGTTCCTTAAAATCTCTCTCTCTCTCTCTCTCTCTCTCTCTCTCTCTCACACACACACACACACACACACACACAGTTTCTCTAAATAATCTAGGTTAATTTAGATCCCAAAGGAGCACAGACTTGATTTGGGTACTTCACATGCTAGCTAAATGCCTCTAAAGTGCACTTTATTAAAGATAACTTATTTCACACACTTTCAACATAGTGTTAAAGTAAATGACCACACAGACAATATACCATCTCATTTGTGTGTGTTTCTTCCCTCACTGTACCTTCTATTTACTCTTTTGGCCTCATTTCAAATTGAGAGTTAAACAGATACTGAGAGAACTTCTATTCAATGTATCTTTCCAGGTACGTTTGTGTAGTTCTTAAAAGATTTACTCAAGAACTTGAAAGCTTACTACAGTAATAATAAGTATGTGAAGAGTATATAAGGTGAACCTTTGGCTTTTCGTGGAGAAGCTACCATGTAATATAATAGAGAGTAAAACTCTCCTCTGCCTATTATAGCATCTCATGAATGGCCTTGGAGTTGCCTCTCACTTTATTGTGAGTCTGCAGAGCCACAATCATTACTGTAGAAAAAAAAAAGCTGTGCTTGTTTATAATTATAACTTCTGCCTCTACTCCTGGTATCAAAAGTAACGTACTCAGAAACCAAAATGAGAATTATCTTTCCATTCATTTCTGGTCCTGAACACTAACTGTTGTCACTCCACTGCAGCTCACTGGAAACGTCTAAAACTAGAAGATATATGGTTCCAAAGAAATTTTTATTTAGGTGACTCTTTAAAAAGTGATATCTGCATGGAGTTTTGTGTTGTTGTTTTTGAAAGCAGGAATATGCAAGTGAGAAAATTTTCAAACATTGCACTAAAGTCCACTAATTTATCTACTACCTTCAAATATCAACATAGCTCAAAAATGTCACACAGAACACCAATCCCAAAAGATGCCTCTAGAAAAATGGGTTATAGAATCAAGTTGATTTTAGAAATGCTTTCACTGTACATGCCCCTACCTCCATCAGAAATGCACAAAGCAGAGACCATAGTGAAGGCCCTGTGAAACACTTCAGTTAAAAAAAATCTGCTTACCTTTTTTAACTATATTTTAAATATATATTTTATAACAGAATACTTTGGAAAACTTTTCTTAACAGTCCAGAAAGTGCTGAAACATACTTTGAAAAATGTTGACATAAACTATCCCAGACACAATGAGGTTAAAAAGAAAAGTTTCCACATTAGGAGATTCTATAACTTCTCTGAAGAAGTTATCTCAGTGTCTGGCAGACAGAAAATCTTTTCTGTGTCTGAGATAAATCTTCCATGCATCCTTTTAAACATTTCCTTCTGTTTAGAACTCAGGGAGAAGAACAGCTGGTCACCATTTTCTATGCAAGAAATCATTATTCACTTAGAGACCTTTATTAGGATATCCATCTACATTCTTTGCCACAATGGGAATAAGTACAATGATTGAATCTTTACTTTTCAACATTATTATTTTACAGATGGGGTCTCCCTATATTGTCCAGGTGGTCTCAAACTTTGGCTTCAAGCAATCCTCTCACTTGGGCCTCCCAAGTCACTGGGATTACAGGTGTTAGCCACCATGTGTAGCTGAGTCTTTCTTGGGTATTCCTCTCTCATAAGTGTTAACTATCTGTTACCCTACTCAGAGCCATCTACTTTTTCCATTACCTTTTAAGTCAAACAGACCATAAATTTACATATTCTACCAGAAATGTGGCCTGCACTTGGTACTATGATGCTTACAGGTTACTGTGGAGTGATACCTTGTATGGGAGTTAAGTTCAAAAGTCAGCAAATAAAGCAAAATCATGTAGAGTCAAAAGTACTCTTGAAACCCTATTAGAAAGCTTGATGGTGGAGGGGGACAGGCCATATGTAAAGATGCCCCAAAGAGATACCTCGCCCTCTAGATCTGGAACACATGGCTATATCAAATAAAATACAGGAATTGGCTTTCTTCTCAGAGGTCATGTTTTATGAAAAATGCATATCTTTAAACACTAGAATCCTGCTTATACTTTGAGGGCTCACAGGAACTAAAATTGACTAAGAGAAGGACAATTCCATATCTCTCACCTCCTGCCCTCTCCCAGGGTTGCCTTCACTAAGGGCAATAGCAACAAAGTTACCCACACTATTTAAGTTGTTATTTTGTTCCCTCTCTTTCTCTTTTATTTCTGCATTTGGTTAAAAAATGGATCTGGTATGTTGAATTTGTATAAACTTGCATAGGATGCAGTCACTCTATGTCAAAATGTATTTTATTGTTATTGTAGTTTAATTTTAAAAATCTATTCAGCATCTTCTAAGTACAAGGCAAGATGAGTCATTATTTTCTATTTAGTTTTATTTCAATACAATAACATTTAACAAGCACTCACTATATGTAAGGAGTAGACAAAAACATGGCTATGACTCTACCGCTTAGGCTCGGAATTCATATCTTTAAACTATACTTTAATTTCTAGGACACGTGTGCAGAACGTGCAGGTTTATTACATAGGTATACACGTGCCATGGTGGTTTGCTGCACCCATCAACCCTTCATATACATTAGGTATTTCTCCTAATGCTATCCCTCCCCTAGTCCCCCAACCCCCAACAGGCCCTGGTATGTGATGTTACCCTCCCTGTGTCCATGTGTTCTCACTGTTCAACTCCCATTTATGACTGAGAATATGCGGTGTTTGGTTTTCTGTTCTTGTGTTGGTTTGCTGAGAATTATGGTTTCCAGCTTCATTTGATGGTGATATGCATAAACAAAACTAAAATCCAAATAGGACTGTATTAAGTCCTATTAATAAGTATTAATATCATATTAGGTATCATAACAGGACAGGAAGGGAAGAAATTCATTTTGCTTAAATCAAGGAAGTGTTGCAACAAGAAAGGACACTGGAATCAGGTCTCATAAAACAAGCTGGATTTTACTAAATACAGAAGTGTGTGTGTGTGTGTGTGTGTGTGTGTGTGTGTGTATGTATGTCTGTAGATGTAAGGGAGGAGGGTAGAAAAATTTTATGCCAATGGAGCAAAGAGAAGACAAGTAGACTTGAAATGAAAAGTCCAGGTAAGAAAGAGCTCAAAACCTGGAACTTCTGTGTTGCTGCAAGGTTGGGTAAATGAAAGGAAATAACCAGAACTGAAACTGGAAAGATGGTTGGGACCAACCAGTGAAGGCCCTGAATGCTCTGCTAAGGAATATGGAATCGAAAACAAAGGAATCATGACTATCTCTTGGCAGGGGAGTGGCATGTTTAGATCCTACTCATAGTGGAGTGGATGAAAGGCAAGTAGGGAAAACCAAACTCCTCAAGGCAGCTAGTAGGGCTTATTCTAGCTTTATTTACTACACTTAACATAAAATCGAGTACTTTGTCTTATAATTTTCCACTGGTTTTCTTTTTTCTTTTTTTTTTCTTTTTTGCTTCCTGCAGAGGCACTGCCCTGCATATGTATATTCCTCCCACTCCCATAAAAGCTGCCTGCTTTCCTTGAATTCTTTGCCAGTTTTATGGTAATTTTTCATTTCCATCAAGTTCTCAGAACTACCATATGGTTCAGCACATACAGCTACATATGTAGCTGCTAACTGCAACTAGTCATGCTACTGAGACGCTGGTCTCTGTCCATGGGAGACACAGAAAACATAAGGGGGAATGAATGATTAATGGAAATAGTGGACAAAACCCTTCCACCTCACTTCTGTGTGAATCTTCTTGAAAACTTTCCTATTTCCAGCAATAGTGCTCCTAGTAATATAGAACCACTAATGATTTATCCTCTATCCTCCCAAGAAATACACATCCAATAGCAAATAAATGCCAGGTTCTATTCTAGGTTCTCTAGGATACATTAACAAGGAATAGAGAGAAAAATTCCCTGACAACAATCTAGCTGGGAAGGGAGATTGTCAGGGAGTCAAAAATTAGCAATAAATATAGTAAGTCAATTTTTCATCATGTGACAAGGTGAGAAGTATAATGAAAAAAACAGAGAGAGAGAGCAGATAAGGAGTATCAGGAGGGTGGCATGGGAAACCTGATCAACATCATTAATGATAATGAAAATGAAAATTACAATGACATGCCACTTCAAACCCACTAGATTAGCTAAAATGAAAATGATTGATAATAGCAAATATTGATTAGGATTAGGATTTGGAGAAACTGCAACTCTCCTACATTGCTGTGGAGATGTAATGTAGATCAACCACTTTAGAAAACTGTCTCAGGCAAGAAATGATGGTGACTTGAAATAGGGTGACAGTGATGGAGGTTGAAAGACAGAATGTATTTTTAAAAACAGTCAAGAGGATTAATGATGGATTAAATGTATTAAGTTAGATAAATGGAAGTCTATGACAATCTACAATTTTTGATCTGAAAAACTAGAACAATTGGCCTGGTAATTACAGGTTTGGGTAGTGGGAATCAGAAGTTCAGTTCTGAATATAGCAAATTTGAGATACATATTTTATATGTAATAGGAGATGGAATGTAAGCAGTTAGATATGAATCGGGAGTTAAGGGGAGAAGTCTGAACTAAAGACATCAATGTTGAGACTGACACTGCGTAGATGATATTTAAAGCCCTGAGACTACATGAGATCCTCAGAGAGAGAGAGAGAGAGAAGATCATTGAGAGGTTAGAAGCCCATGGACCCTGGGGTGCTATTGTTCTGTGTTACTGTTGAATTTAGAATTCAGGAAAATGAGGATGCTACTGAAAAAAGGTGTCCAGTGAGGCCCAAACGAAACCTAAGTGGACAGTGAAGACAAGGGAAGGAAGTGTCTCAAAGAAAAAGGAAAAGTGAGCTGAGGCTAATAATCCTGAAGGGTCAAAAGGAGGCTGAGAATTGGCCACTGGATTTGAAAATGAGATGGCTGGTCACTTCAGTAAAGTTACTTTCATGGAGTGGTGAAAAGAGAGCCTGCCTGGACAATAAAAGAAGGGAATGAGAGGTATGAAGGCAATATATATATATACAATAATTGTGAAGTTTTTCTGTAAAAGTGGAAATTAGATATGAGGTGGTAGTTGAAGGATGATGTGAGACCAAAGGGTGGTTTTTACAAGTGTAAGATATTGCAGCATGCTTGTATGCTAATAGTCACGACTCAATAAGTGCAAGAAAAGCAATGATGCATGACGTTTGAGTAAGTGAGAGGGAATGGGCTGTAGCACACAAGAGGAAGGAGAATGCATGGTCCAGATGCAGGTGAGCTGGGACATTTGGTGGTGAGAGTTTGTGAATGTCCCATTTTGATTATTTATATTTTTGTGAAAAAGAAAGGAAAATCATCACCTAAGAGTGATATATGTTGGAGATTAAGAAGGGATGAAATTATTGTCTAAGAACGAAGGAGAGTGAGTGGGCCAAGGCAATGGGCAGGGTATCAAGGGAGTACCAAGGGCCCACATGAAGTCTGTGGTCATGGATTTAAAGTGAGAGTATCATAGAAAAGGCAAGTGACGATTTGTATCACATAGCAAAACATGACATAAACACTATTTTGGATGGGCAATGATGTAAAATCTTCAGATATGATCTCTTTTAAGATAAGATGCAAATCTATGTTCTATATTTTCCAACAGAGTCAAGTCTACCCCACCAAAAATGATTTAAAATAACTTCAGCTTTGGAATATGCAGTAACTACTAATAGGAGAATGTATCAATAACAGAGCAGAAAGTTAATCACATAAATGATAGACCGGCAGATGGAGAAGTCAACTGAGTCTGAGCTAGGTAGAGAAAAACAGCAGTGAGCTGGCTAAGCATGAAACCAAGAGGCCTCATTGAAGCCTAGTCCAGAGACACAGTAACAATTACAATGCCCAAGGCAATGGTGGTTGTAGATGACCTGACAATGACAAGTCCTGGTCACAGCTTTCTATACGATAAGAGTCGTTACATGACACAGCACCTGGGCCGACTGATGTATAAACTATAAAAGCTCTACATGTAATAGCATGGAAATAATTTTTGTTAACTGATGTTACAAAATACAAAGTGTGGTTCTTGGATAGTGAGGGAATTGCAGAGGAACATAGGCTGGAACGGAAAATATTATCAACTTTGTCATGGAACCATCACTACAAAATGTGGAAAATATATTCATTCTCTTTCCCTAGGTAAGACCTTTTTTTTCTTAAAATATGGTATTTATTCTATCAGGTTTCCCAATGGCTTATTCTGCAATTTAGAAGTACTACAAAGTATCCTACATGCCATAAAAATATATAAACCTTTAATATATTAGATCCAAATACAAGGTGTCTTCCTGGCAACATCAATGTCCAGTTTCATTCTGCATGTCTTTGGTCATACAATAGTCTATTCTATTATTCTATAGGCATTTTTCTAACCCACTCCAAATCCATTTTGCAGTGAGGTACGGATATAAATACAAAGGTAAACAATGTAATTGTATTACTTGTGTATGCATGTATGTTCTTGCATGTGTGTATTGAGAGGAATGTTTGTCTGACTACCTCCATGTGCCAGTCTGATCTTCTGGAGAGAAAATTGCTGGGAGGCTGTGACATGAACCAGTGTGGAGGCAAATTAATGACAAGACTGAGAACTGGCATGAAGAGAAATCCATGAGATGACAAAGCCACCTCTTTAAGTGAGGAGATGTATTAGCTGCACCCAACCTCCACCTACCATTTCCACTACATTGTTGCTAGTGGTCCCCTCCATTGGTCAAGCTGCAGATTTGTCCCCACATGGACATAATAATTGGCTTGTTTCCCCAGTGCCAAAGCTATAGCTAACGATTTGTGCTAGTTATGAAGGGAATGATGTGAAAGAAGATGAATAGATGGATGGATAAATGGATGATTGAATGAATGGATGGATGGGTGGATTGATGGATGGATGGATGGATGCATGGATTTGGACAGATGTTCACCTCTACTAGGAAAAAAAGCCTTCAAATCACTTTTCCAAGGGGGACTTCACTGCCTCATACCATGAGTAAAGGACATTGTTTTGGTCTTTATAAGGCAAGACAGGTCTTCTCTTCTACCCCTAACCCACCCAAGGCTCTCCATTTACAAGTACACCCATGATTGTAAAATACATAATAATGAAAAAAACCCAAGACACCATGTGAGACTGTAATGAAAACCAACACCAAATAAATTACTCATAAGTGAAAGTTAATTCTGTTTCTTCTTGTTGTGCAGGGAAGCCACATTCAATGACGTAGGCAATAGCAAACTATAAAAATAGATCCAACGACATTAATTTTCCCAATCAAAATTACAGTGGCTATTTTCATGATTTATGTCACTATTTATTGCAAATCAACATGGCTAGACCAGCTTAAATCTGCAAGAGTCATAAAGAAAATCCCTAGTGCATGTTCAGACTATGGTCCTCATGGGGTATAAATATTAACTGCTGGTAGAAGAAAATGGAATAATCAACTTTTATATCTTTAATTTCCCTTTATCACCATAGTACAGACATTCCAATGGAGTGATTATTCTAATCCTAATAGTCAACAGCAAATTAGTTCATTTTAAAAAGTATTGCTTACAAAGAACACAACCAAAATCTAAATTCCTAAATTACTGTTTTACACAATGTAATACATGCTTGAATTCAGTCTTAGTGCATGTAGAATGGGTATAGGAGGAGGATCTGACGGAGAAGTATGGAATAAGCCAAATTCTGTACCCAAATTCTCATTGTTATTCCCGCTAAAGGGCACAGTTTCTAGAGATGCAGCATGGAGCTGTTTTGCGACAAGTAAGAAGCTGAGCTTGAGGTCTTAAATTTCTAATGCTATGAAGAAATGATACAAATTAGAAACAATCCCTATAATCAATCTGCAACTGTTTCCAGAGAAAAGCTAACATAGTTAGTTCTTCGACCCAATCATGGACAATATCTTTTTTGTTCTATGAATAGAATGGCAAAGCTTTATTGAAATACAACAGAGAAGGCTTAATTACAACATATACCATGTTCATGGATTTGAAATTTCAATATTTTTAAGGACAGTGTTCCCCAAATTGATATTCAGATTCAATATGATTTCATTAAAAATACCAAAGGGTTTTTTTTCTGTGAAACTAATATTTATATGAATCAAGGGGAATTCAGTTTAACAGATATCATCATTTATAATAAATAATAATTGATTCAATATCTTATCAGTTTAGGAATAGTCAAATTGATCAGAGAACAGAATATAGAATCCAGGAAAAATATGTATATGATATATTAGTCTGCTTGTGGTGTCATAACAAAATATCATAGACTATGTGGCTTACAAAACATTTACTTCTCACAGTTCTAGAAACTGGAAATCCAAAATCAAGGTGTGACTAACTTGTTTCTTGTAAGGGCCTCTTCCTGGCTATCTTTATTTTATTTTATTTTATTTTATTTTATTTATTTATTTTTATTATTATTATACTTCAAGTTTTAGGGTACATGTGCACAATGTGCAGGTTAGTTACATATGTATACGTGTGCCATACTGGTGTGCTGCACCCATTAACTCGTCATTTAGCATTAGGTATATCTCCTAATGCTATCCCTCCCCCCTCCCCCACCCCAAAACAGTCTCCAGAGTGTGATGTTCCCCTTCCTGTGTCCATGTGTTCTCATTGTTCAATTCCCACCTATGAGTGAGAACATGCGGTGTTTGGTTTTTTGTCCTTCCGATAGTTTACTGAGAATGATGATTTCCAATTTCATCCATGTCCCTACAAAGGACATGAACTCATCATTTTTTATGGCTGCATAGTATTCCATGGTGTATATGTGCCACATTTTCTTAATCCAGATAGACTGGATTAATGATAGCATTGTTGGACATTTGGGTTGGTTCCAAGTCTTTGCTATTGTGAATAGTGCCACAATAAACATACGTGTGCATGTGTCTTTATAGCAGCATGATTTATAGTCCTTTGGGTATATACCCAGTAATGGGATGGCTGGGTCAAATGGTATTTCTAGTTCTAGATCCCTGAGGAATCGCCACACTGACTTCCACAATGGTTGAACTAGTTTACAGTCCCACCAACAGTGTAAAAGTGTTCCTATTTCTCCACATCCTCTCCAGCACCTGTTGTTTCCTGACTTTTTAATGATTGCCATTCTAACTGGTGTGAGATGGTATCTCACTGTGGTTTTGATTTGCATTTCTCTCATGGTCAGTGATGATGAGCATTTTTTCATGTGTCTTTTGGCTGCATAAATGTCTTCTTTTGAGAAGTGTCTGTTCATGTCCTTTGCTCACTTTTTGATGGGGTTGTTTGTTTTTTTCTTGTAAATTTGTTTGAGTTCATTGTAGATTCTGGATATTAGCCCTTTGTCAGATGAGTAGGTTGCGAAAATTTTCTCCCATTTTGTAGTTTGCCTGTTCACTCTGATGGTAGTTTCTTTTGCTGTGCAGAAGCTCTTTAGTTGAATTAGATCCCATTTGTCAATGTTGGCTTTTGTTGTCATTGCTTTTGGTGTTTTAGACATGAAGTCCTTGCCCATGCCTATGTCCTGAATGGTATTGCCTAGGTTTTCTTCTAGGGTTTTTATGGTTTTAGGTCTAACGTTTAAGTCTTTAATCTGTCTTGAATTAATTTTTGTATAAGGTGTAAGGAAGGGATCCAGTTTCAGCTTTCTCCGTATGGCTAGCCAGTTTTCCCACCACCATTTATTAAATAGGGAATCCTTTCCCCCTTGCTTGTTTTTCTCAGGTTTGTCAAAGATCAGATAGTTATAGATATGCTGCGTTATTTCTGAGGGCTCTGTTCTGTTCCATTGATCTATATCTCTGTTTTGGTACCAGTACCATGCTGGTTACTGTAGCCTTGTAGTATAGGTTGAAGTCAGGTAGCATGATGCCTCCAGCTTTGTTCTTTTGGCTTAGGATTGACTTGGTTATGTGGGCTCTTTTTTGGTTCCATATGAACTTTAAAGTAGGTTTTTCCAATTCTGTGAAGAAAGTCATTGGTAGCTTGATGGGGATGGCATTGAATCTATCAATTAACCTTGGGCAGTATGGCCATTTTCATGATATTGAGTCTTCCTACCCATGAGCATGGAATGTTCTTCCATTTGTTTGTATCCTCTTTTATTTCATTGAGCAGTGGTTTGTAGTTCTCCTTGAAGAGGTCCTTCACGTCCCTTGTAAGTTGGATTCCTAAGTATTTTATTCTTTTGAAGCAATTGTGAATGGGAGTTCACTCATGATTTGGCTCTCTGTTCGTCTGTTATTGGTATATAAGAATGCTTGTGATTTTTGTACATTGATTTTGTATCCTGAGACTTTGCTGAAGTTGCTTATCAGCTTAAGGAGATTTTGGGCTGAGACAATGGGGTTTTCTAGATATACAATCATGTCGTCTGCAAACAGGGACAATTTGACTTTCTCTTTTCCTAATTGAATACCCTTTATTTCCTTCTCCTGCCTGATTGACCTGGGCAGAATTTCCAACACTATGTTGAATAGGAGTGGTGAGAGAGGGCATCCCTGTCTTGTGCCAGTTTTCAAAGGGAATGCTTCCAGTTTTTGCCCATTCATTATGATATTGGCTGTGGGTTTGTCATAGATAGCTCTTATTATTTTGAAACACGTCCCATCAATACCTAATTTATTGAGAGTTTTTAGCATGAATGGTTGTTAAATTTGGTCAAGGGCCTTTTCTGCATCTATTGAGATAATCATGTGGTTTTTGTCTTTGGTTCTGTTTATATGCTGGATTACATTTATTGATTTGCATGTATTGAACCAGCCTTGCATCCCAGGGATGAAGCCCACTTGATCATGGTGGATAAGCTTTTTGACGTGCTGCTGGATTTGGTTTGCCAGTATTTTATTGAGGATTTTTGCATCAATGTTCATCAAGGATATTGGTCTAAAATTCTCTTTTTTGATTGTGTCTCTGCCCAGCTTTGGTATCAGGATGATGCTGGCCTCATAAAATGAGTTAGGGAGGATTCCCTCTTTTTCTATTGATTGGAATAGTTTCAGAAGGAATGGTACCAGCTCCTCCTTGTACCTCTGGTGGAATTCGGCTGTGAATCCATCTGGTCCTGGACTCTTTTTGGTTGGTAAACGATTGATTATTGCCACAATTTCAGAGCCTGTTATTGGTCTATTCAGAGATTCAACTTCTTCCTGGTTTAGTCTTGGGAGAGTATATGTGTCGAGGAATTTATCCATTTCTTCTAGATTTTCTAGTTTATTTGCGTAGAGGTGTTTGTAGTATTCTCTGATGGTAGTTTGTATTTCTGTGGGATCGGTGGTGATATCCCCTTTATCATTTTTTATTGCATCTATTTGATTCTTCTCTTTTTTTCTTTATTAGTCTTGCTAGCGGTCTATCAATTTTGTTGATCCTTTCAAAAAACCAGCTCCTGGATTCATTAATTTTTTGAAGGGTTTTTTGTGTCTCTATTTCCTTCAGTTCTGCTCTGATTTTAGTTCTTTCTTGCCTTCTGCTAGCTTTTGAATGTGTTTGCTCTTGCTTTTCTAGTTCTTTTAATTGTGATGTTAGGGTATCAATTTTGGATCTTTCCTGCTTTCTCTTGTGGGCATTTAGTGCTATAAATTTCCCTGTACACACTGCTTTGAATGTGTCAGAGATTCTGGTATGTTGTGTCTTTGTTCTCGTTGGTTTCAAAGAATATCTTTATTTCTGCGTTCATTTCGTTATGTACCCAGTAGTCATTCAGGAGCAGGTTGTTCAGTTTCCATGTAGTTGAGCAGTTTTGAGTGAGTTTCTTAATCCTGAGTTCTAGTTTGATTGCACTGTGTTCTGAGAGACAGTTTGTTATAATTTCTGTTCTTTTACATTTGCTGAAGAGAGCTTTACTTCCGAATATGTGGTCAATTTTGGAATAGGTGTGGTATGGTGCTGAAAAAAATGTATATTCTGTTGATTTGTGGTGGAGAGTTCTGTAGATGTCTATTAGGTCCACTTGGTGCAAAGCTGAGTTCAATTCCTGGATATCCTTGTTAACTTTCTGTCTCGTTGATCTGTCTAACGTTGACAGTGGGGTGTTAAAGTCTCCCGTTATCATTGTGTGGGAGTCTAAGTCTCTTTGTAGGTCTCTAAGGACTTGCTTTATGAATCTGGGTAGTTATTTAGGATATTTAGCTCTTCTTGTTGAATTGATCCCTTTACCATTATGTAATGGCCTTCTTTGTCTCTTTTGATCTTTGTTCGTTTAAAGTCTGTTTTATCAGAGACTAGGATTGCAACCCCTGCTTTTTTTTGTTTTCCATTTGCTTGGTAGATCTTCCTCCATCCCTTTATTTTGAGCCTATGTGTGTCTCTGCACATGAGATGGGTTTCCTGAATACAGCACACTGATGGGTCTTGACTCTTTATCCAATTTGCCAGTTTGTGTCTTTCAATTGGAGCATTTAGTCCATTTACATTTAAAGTTAATATTGTTATGTGTGAATTTGATCCTGTCATTGTGATGTCAGCTGGTTATTTTGCTCATTAGTTGATGCAGTTTCTTCCTAGTCTCGATGGTCTTTACATTTTGGCATGATTTTGCAGTGGCTGGTACCTGGCTATCTTGTAACAATCAAAAATCTACCATTTCAATATCCAGCTTATGTTAACAATTCTATTGATTTTGGAGGAGTTAAAAAAATGAGGAGACTGGCTCTTCATTTCTTTTCCCATTCCTGTATCCTTCTGCCTTCATTGAGTACCACTCTACCCCTGACACTCTGCTTCAGCCATCATCTCCCTCTTGCTCCTTGACTATGTCAGCCATGCTGCTTCTTCAGAGCACTGGCACTTTCCCTCTGCCCGGAATACCCTTCCCCACATGTATCCAAATGACTCATTCCCACACTTCCTTCTGGACTTGTGCCAAGTGTCATCTTGAGAGCCCTGTCTTGACATCTCTAAATCATTTATCAGCACTTAATTCTGAGACACATATATAGAGTTTTCTTTATTGATTATTCCCCTCCACTATAATCCAAACTCATGAGGCTAGAATCTTTATTTTACCCAATGCTCTTATCCCAGCAATTAGACAAGTACCTAGCCCACAGTAGGCTCACAACAAATATTAAGTGAAGGAAAGAGAGAGAAAGACTTCATTGGTCAAGGCGAATTTGATAGGATTGAGAATGAAAGAAACATTTTGTCTAATCTTCAAGACTCTATGTATGTGCTTTCTCATCCAATAAAAGAAGGTCTTTCTGGTAATGGATTCCCCACCTTCTCAAAAATTTTAAGGATTATAAAATAAATCTAACCCAATACACTAAACACAGTGTACATATTACTGAAAAATTTCTAGATCAAAAGAGTTGTGCTTATTTTGCTGACAATTTTGCACATATTTCACTTTTTTTTAAACAGAAGAATGTCCATAAAGCAGAACCTTTATTTTCCTAAAAGTTTAGCCCAATGGATGATAAAAAATAGAGCTCTTAAAATCATCACCTTAATAACTAGTCACTGCACATGAAAAATAGCATTGTCAGAAATAACAATTGAGGCAAAAAATAACCCACTGCCAGAGGTTAGTAACTAGCAGGAGAATCTGACATTTAAGGGCCGATTCTCGTCTCTCTTTCAATGTATAAATAAACCATGAAAGACAGAGATCTGGCCACAAAAACATGTGAGAGAAGCCAAACCTCTGTCTCCAACCTTTGAACAAACAAAATACAGAGAATGTAAGTTGCCTCCAAGGATTGCCTGAAGCATTAGTTAATCTTTGCAACAAAATTTCAGGATGAAAGCCACCATGGAAGGGCTAAATCTTACCATCTCAATAAAGAATACTTTTCTTTCTTTCTTTGTGTGTGTGTGTTTTTGTTTTTTGTTGTTTTGTTTTTTTGAGTCAGAGTCTCACTCTGTCACCCAGGTTGGAGTGCAGTGGCGTGATCTCAGCTCACTGCAACCTCTGTCTCCCGGGTTCAAGCGATTCTTGAGCCTCAGCCTCCCGTGTAGCTGGGATTACAGGTGCACACCACCAGGCCCAGCTAATTTTTTTGTATTTTTAGTAGGAACAGGATTTCACTATGTTGACCAGGCTGGTCTCGAACGTTTGACCTCAAGTGATCCACTGGCCTTGGCCTCCCAAAGTACTGGGATTACAGATATTAGCCACTGCACCCAGCCACTTTGCTTTATTTTTAAACACTGCATTAGAAATTATTTTAAAAAGATTCCACCAAAAGCAAAGCCTTATTGCCTTCCAATGAGAAATTTCCATTCAGTCATCATGGTAACAAAGACACTCTGGGGAGGGCCAAAGCGTGCCAGAATGTGAGTTTGCTGCCATCATAAAGTTCCACATTTAACACACCTGACCAAGATGACAGCCTGTGGGGACTCACTACTTTACTTAATTAGCTGGAGGGAGTCAAGGAAACCACTTATGGCATAGCAGTCCAGTGTTCCACTCTATGTGTTCCTCAGGTTCATTATAATATAGCAGATGTACCAAACCAGGAGCTCAAGTCAGATGTTAACAATTCATATTTATTCCCAACATTTCAAGATGTTGTTGCGTGTTGGTTTCCCTAAAGCAATATTTTTCAAAGTGTGGCTTCTCTACTCTCAGAATCATTAAAATCCAGGAATGTGTTAGAAATGCATATTTTCAAGGGTCACCCCAGATTTACGGAACTGGAAAATTTGGGAGTGGAGTCCCCACAATCTGCTATAACAAACCCCACAGGTGATTCTGATGCACCACTTTATAGTTATATTTAGCTTACATCACAAAGAAAAGATCTGGCTATCCAAATCCCATTGAACAGATAGTTGACGTTGCTAATTTATGTTTGTTTAGCAAATGTATATTGAATGCCTGTCACATGGTAAGCACTGCTCTAGAGGCTGGAGATTTAGTAGTGAACAAAACACACAGACCTTGACCTCATGGATCTTATATTCTAGTTGGAAGAGACAAACAGTAGACAAGATACACAAATCATATGATATTTCAGAAAATGGTAAGTGTTATTGAAAAAAGAAAAGCATGAAAAGAAGATGGGTATTTTGGGAGAAGAAACATGAATCCATTTTAAATAAAATGGCCAGGGTCTGCATTACTGGGAAAATTAAATTTGAGCTTTGGCTTATATAACTAATTAGTATGACAGAGTTTATTAAAGGATGGGTTTTTTAGCATTATTTCAAAAAGTCCATTTATAAATAGATTTACAGAAGTATTTACATTATGGTTCCATTTAAGTATGGATGTTCTAAGTACTTTACAAAACTTTCAGAAATAAATATTGTTTTTATTCAAATCTTAGTTCTAAATTTATCCCTGCTCTTGCTCTATTTGTATCTGTTTAACTTTATTTTTAGTACTTAAAATTATGTTATCATTATATTAAGTCAAATATTTAACTTAAAAGTTAGACAATTGCAAAATAATGCATATATATTAATTTCAAAGTTTTGATCTAATTCTCCTAGAGTTGATAATAAACAGACAAAAGAATGCTACAGTGAAAGTGATCCTTTAACTACTAATAGAGCCTTTTAAAATAGGGGTTACCTATCAGTGACAGCCAAAAGAGAAAAAGTTTTGTAGTTAGGAGAGTAGACTCCATTTAGACCTAGACCCCTAGGGAAAATGTTAAAGAGTTGTTCTGGAATGAATGTGTCCCTCCAAAATCCAATGTGTCTTAAATCCCAGTGTGACTCACAATGGGAAACAGGGCCTTTCAGGAGGTAATTAAGGTTAAATGAGGCCATAAGACACTAATCCAATATGACTGATGTCTCTATAAGAAGAGGAAGAGACACAGGAGTGTGTCGCACAGAGAAAAAAATTATCTGAGGACACAGCAAGAAAGCGGTCATCTACAAGGTAGGAGGAGAGACCTCACCAGAAACCAACCCTGCTGGCATACTGATCTTAAACTTTTGGACTCCAGAACTATGAGAAAATTAATTCCTGCCGTGGTATTGTTATGGCAGCCCAAGCTGACTAATACATGACTATAAGCATCTCTTTTTACATGTAGAGAGAGTTCATTTGCATTTAGAGAAAATCTCCTTGAATGCTGCTAAGCATTGCAGACTTCACCAGGTCATCATGACCAACAGAAGGATGGTGGCAAAATCCCACTGGTCCTGTATGGCACCTCACAGACGGATATTTATGGCCTGCTGGTAGTATCATGGAGTCGTGGTAAAAGTAACCACGAGTTGAAGGCCAGGAGGTAGGAATGAAAAAGAGAATAATTAAAACACAACTCATAATCACCTCATTTGTATTAAATAACATTTCTGGAACTGATAATATTATCATAAAAGGGAAGATAAGGGAAGATAGAATTTATTTATTAAATAGATCCATTTAAATTTGTGAATTTATTTATAAATTTATTATTTTTTGGTACATCTAGTAGTTACGATGTTAGGTACTGACTATTCAATAGTACACTAAAAGAAGACATAGGGTTTTTAAAAACACATATTAAATAATTTGCTTACAAGCAAATATGTTACAAAGATAATTGCTAAAAGATAAAAAGTTCTATAAGAGCATATGATGGGGTCTTACCTTGATCAAATAAAGCTTCCCTAAGAAAGAGACATTTGAGCTGAGCAGTGAAAGGACATTCTAACTAGAGAGAATGAATTCTGGCGTGGGCAAAGTACAGAAAGCTCCTTGTGAGATGAGATGGAAGAATCAGCCACAATAGATCATGCAGTTGTAGATGAAGATAAATGTTTGAGGCTTTGTCCAAAGAGCAGCTGGAAACCACAGAAGGAGCACGGTGGTGGTGGTTTGGGTGGTGGTGTTGAAAGGAACTGATACGATTGAATGGGCATGAATTTATGTGAATAATAGTGACTCTAGGTGACGAATGTGTAGAAAGAGGCAGAAGTAGACACAGGAGCAAAGGTAGCTTGGACTAGAGATGGGGCAAGGAGGAGAGGTGGGCTATCCAGTATGTGTGTGTGGTTAATGTAAAACAGGAAAATGTGAATTAAACCTGTGAGAAATTTTAGTGGGAAAATATGTAAATGGAGGCAAAAGGCACCATGGTACTCAGAAAGCAGGAAGAGAGGTTCAGAAAAGAGAATGGTTTGATATTGGTAAGTGATGTGTCACTCTGGGAGATGTCCTCAGTACAGTAGTTTCAACATGAGATGCTTTGGGGATGAAAGTGCCGTAACTTATGCAAGTTGTCTATGCATCACCCTAAGAATAAAATGGTGACCTTCGGGGAAAGGAGACTAAATCTATATGATAAGGTGGTTTAGCTAATGGGAGCAGGATTAACCATTGGGTCACCCATGGCAGTAGAAGCCAGTGGCACCCCTTGAAGTTCCCACTAAGTCCAGGTTCACATGTGTCCTTGACATTACTTGTCTTATCCAAATTGTCCGCCTGGTGGAACAATCTGCACCTCTGGGTTGCCACTTCTGACCTGGGTTCCTGTATCTCCCATCCCACTATAATTCCTCTCCCCACTGGCCTCTAAGCTTCCCATAATGTGCGACCTATTTGGCCACTGGAAACAGCAATTGTAATAAGAAAAAGCTAAGGAGAGATTAGTGGGCTTGTTATGGTCACTTGAATAGTATCTGGAATACTGAAATTGAAAACTCAACTGAATTTTTAAAAAATTCTAAATAGGTCAGTATGGGAAGGGGGATAAAACCCACATGTGGCATAGCTGGCCTTCAGAAGCGTGTTATCAACTCCTGACATCACTGGTAAGAAAGGGCAAGTGAGTCCAGAGGCAGAGGTTGATGGATAGCAGGGGTAGCTTGAAGTGTTTATCTCATTTCTGTCTTCTGTCTGTGATTAGGCACTAAGGTGAAGTGGAAGACATTCTAAGAGCCCCACCCCCACCCCCTTTACAGCTGAAAAGATATTAAATATCTGTATTTAATTTTGATCAGTTGGGACAAGCTTAGTAAGCATCTGTAGTAAGCTAAACAGTACTACACCCTATGAGGAATGTAAAGATTAATTAGACTAAGCCCTTGCCCTCAAAGAACACATGAATCAATGGTGAAAAATAAGAATGTTCAGCAAATAAAAAGGCAGAGTGTAAAAACAGGTCAATTTGCATCTAACAGAGATTCTTTGGGAGGGATTCCTGAATTGGGATATATGTCAGACCAGATTATTCTAACTTACCTTTCACACTTAACAATCAATTTATCTATGAATCAGCTTCACACATAGCTATAGATTTGGATCATTACTCTCAGCTCTTCCCACCTGATCTCCTCTCATTTTCTCCTAGTCCTCCAGGGTGGGCAATGGAAAATCATCAATGATTATCAGGGTAGGAATCAATGCATTGGATTATTCACTCCCCCATCCTCAAAGTCTAAGAGTTAAATCAATTGAAAGATGCAGAAGGTGAGGATGTTTCAGTAGTGTTTCTCACTGTGGTATTATTCTTTATAAAAATATTAATGTATAAATAATGCAGTATATACTGATTCCAGTTTTTTATTATTATTTTTACATCTTACCTTTTTTTAGACTTGGAGCTATGTTTTCCTCACTGACTCAGGGGTCACTCTGGGCTTGTTTTTGTACAGACTATCTAGACCAATATTATGTGTCTACCAGTTAATTCAAGATTCCTTGTGAGTTCGCATTAAAATCTACAAAGATAAGGGTTGAACCACAACAAACTCTCAGAAAAACCACATAGTTTTGTCATTAAGTCATTACCTGAACCCAAAAATTGTTTTTTTTAAATAATAATCTACCCTTCTTCAAACAATGGATCAAGAGTAATGGCTACTGAATTTGTAAAGTAAAAAACTTATGGAGGATTTATAATAGATGGGTAAGGCTGACAACACCTGAACCCAATGATCAATAATAACATTACAAAAAGTGACACAGACAACCAGATATGTGCCTCCTAACAGGAGTTCAGAATAACATCTAGGGAGTAGTCTTGCCAGAAGACTGCGGTCAAGCCTCCTGATCTACAAACCAGACTGTAAGAAATACAGGACACAGAACAAGATGTTAAATAAAACCATGAGAATACAACAGCAAAATCTAGACTGGGAAAATCTATAGAAATAAACGATCAGTTTCTCCAACAACTATATTGTGATGGAAAAAAAAGAGCAAGAGAGAAGGGAACCTATAATTACAAGAGAATTAAGTGACATATAGACCAAATACAAAATACAGATCTTGTTTAAATCCTGATTTGAATAAACATCTATAAAAACTATATGAGGCTTGAGTTGGATATTTGATGAAGTGAATAATCTCAATTTTTTAAGATGTAGTAATGGCAGTTGGATTACATTTTTAAAGAAATCCTTGTAATTCAGAGATCAAACTAAAATATTTATACATGAAACAACTTAAATGTCTGGAATTTGCTTCAAAATAACTCAATGTTTCAGAAAGGAAGAAATAGGTAGGAGTATAGAGAAAATAAGATTGGTCATGAGTTGATAATTCTTGAAGCTAAGTATTAGAGTACTTGGAGGCTTACTATGCTGCTCTTTTTTTTGTTGTTTATGTTTGGAATTATCTATAATAAAAATTATCCAAAGGAAAAAAAACATTAGGGGAAAAACGGAAGAGAGATACAGATATACTAGGAAGAAACAGGAATATCCTTTATCCAAATGGATGTCCCCTTTCATTACATGTATACTGTGCTGAGAAAATTCAAGACACAACCTACCTTTCAGTGCATTTGATGTCAGATTAATGTTGCTTAAAAATTCTTTCAGTACTATTTGAAATATGATCACAGCATTTGGAAAATTTTGAAAATTTAAACAGATAGAAACTGCAGTGATTAATTTTATGTGTTAATTTGACTGGGCTAAGGGACAACAAGATATTTGGGAAAACATTATTTCTGATTGTTTTTGTCAGGGTGTTTCTGAAAAATATTGGCATTTCTATCAGTAGACTGAGTAAAAAAGATCTGCTGTCACCAACATGGGTGGGCAAGAACCAATCCGTTGAGGAAAATCTGTTGAGACATTGTTTTCCTGATGATCTCAGGAATTTGAGTCACTTAAAAAAACAGAAGATTTGGGTTCTGTTCTGGCTAGTTCTTTATCACCTCTGGGCTCCTATCCAAATACAGCAAAAAGGCGAGCAAGGGCGTATTCTCTCTCTCTTTTGGAGCTGGGACATCCATCTCCTCCCGCCCTTGAACATCGGTGCTCCTGGTTCTTGGGTTTTCAGACTCCAGAGTTTCTACCAACCACCCTCTCTCCCCCAGTACTCAAGGGGAAACCCTTTGTTTCTTCACAAATCCTATAGAAACTCTTTGTTTCTATGAAGACACAGTAGGTTGATCTATTTTATAAGCTTGCTTCTTGAATTACACCACTGACTTTCCTGGTTCTCCAGCTTGCAAATGGCATATTGTGGGGCTTCTCAGCCTCCAAAATGGTATCAGCCAATTTGCATGATAAATGTCCTCTTACATGTCTCTCTATATATCCTGTAGGTTCTTTTTCTCTGGAGAAGCCTGACTAATACAGAAGCCATTTGGAATCACTCCAAGAGTGAATTACATTTCAGGGGGTCTATTTGAACTAGCTGTAATCAGCAACTCAAGTATTTCTTTTTAACTCATTGCCTATGAATTACATTTCAAACTAATCAACTTGTTTATTTCTGCTAAAATTTCAGAAACTAAGTGATTAGCTTAAAATTTCTGTCCTGCCCGGTCTTTTTTTTTTTTTTTTTTTTTCTTAAAAGCAATTTTCTACCACAAATTCTGCTAAGGGGAAGAAAGCCATTAAAATATATTGCCAACAAAACAGAATATACAGCAAAAATAAGCCAGGAATTAAGCATAAACGATTTAGTCATGCATTTTCGTTGGTTAGTCAGAAAAAAACTAAAGAAATTCACAACAAAAATACATGAAAGGAAAAGGGAGGATGAAACTGTGGGACAGTTGGCATTCATCCACTGGCACTTAATTAAATTGTCTGGCCCCCTTAAATTCAAATCATTTTAATCAAGAAAATAAACATTAAAAATCCAGAATGAATTAAATTCAAAAAGATAATCAGAGCTCTGTTGTTTTGCCTTTGAGAAAACTTTTCAGTGAAGAAATAACAGAAGCCCAAAATAAATATTTCCTTGTCATATGAATATGCCTGTGATAGGTACATATGCAAGTACATTTTAAAACATTCAAGCAGTAATTGTTTGCTATAGATAAGAATATTGCTGCTCAAAATCAAAAGATCCTTGTGATTCTTTCACTTATAAACCCTTTGTTTCTATAAAGACGTAGTAGGTTGATATATTTTATAAGCTTGCTTCTTTATGGGGGAGCACATTGTCTACTTTGTCAAGGACACCAGCCTCAATTTCAAATAGCTTTAAGACCAGCATGCAGCAGCTCACCCTGCCCCAGCTCCTTCTGCTCTGCTCACCAGGCATTGGCGATCTGACCTGCCTGCCTAGGCTGCCCTCTGTTTTTGCCCTCACCACTCCAAGTGTTAGCACAGATGCTTTAAAGGGCCTCCAGATCTCACCTGGCACCAGCTGCAATAGGTTGATGCAGGTCTCACTTGCTTTCTGCTCATGAACATCCTTGGCAACTCATTATCTTGTCAGTAACCTTCTCCAAGACCAACCAAAGAAAGTTACTATCAGCACCTTTCTTCTCAATAGAACCACAATATTAAAATAATCCCTTCAAGTTTGGAAATACTTCAAGTCTGTACTTTTGCTCTTGCTGAGGTCACCTTATTGTCTACATTTCTGCAAAAGTACCTGCGATCCTTCCAGAGCAGGCAGATTGCTGGAGTTCAGGAGTTTGAGACCAGCCTGGCCAACGTGAAATAAACTTCTACATCTAAGAAATTCTAAACCACACACTTACCAAAAAGCAAGTGAGCCCCTCTGCAAAACGTATAGTTGGTTCATTTCTTACATAGAGTCTTGTTCTGCTCTATAAAGCATTTAACATTTATTTTAAATCTATATATTTCTTTTCTCTCTGTTTTCCTTCAGCAACCTTGTACTAATATACACTCAGCATCAGGCCCAGGCCTCCAGACTTCTAGAAATGAATCTTGTTTATCTATTAAACAATGCAGTAAGTGGGTCCCATGTTTTCTGGTTTACAAAGCACTTTCGTATAAGAATCATCTGATACCAACAAAACCCCTTAAATTTTACAGTGGAGGAAACAGCCAAAAGAGGTTGTTGTGACTTTCTCAAGGTCACTCCAAGCACACAGCAGGGTCCCATGTAACACTAGGTTGTCTGGCTCCAAATCCATTCTCTCTTCACTGCATCATGTGGCTTCTCATTCCTACTTCTTAATTCTTATGGAGAATGGACAGGGAATATGTTGTGTCAAGTATTGCTTCTGTGAAGGTCCCTACCTAGACCCTGGCTGTTCATTTAGCAGTGCAGTCCAGGTGAACTTGAGCTTCCCTGGCACTCAGTCAGGACTGACAGGAGTTGACAATGAGCATAGAATCGCCTTTAACATCACAGCCAATAGAGAACGACACAGCTGAAAAGTTTTGTTAGAGCCTCACACAGCAAGAAATACAATTTTAAATTAAGAGCTTTACACAGTGTTCACTAAATCCTGGCATTCTTGTCATTATGAGAACTATTTTTGCCATTATGTTCCAATTTTTGAAGAAAAGGATTTTCTCCTCAACTTCCGTAGGCTTCTCAGCAGTTGAAGATTTTAATGGAAACATAATACGTAGGATTATGTCATTTTCTTAAAGAAGTAAAAAACCAATTACATTGGATCAGTATTTTCCAACTTCTGATCCATTATCCAGAGACAAAGTTTGTTACCTTCAACATCTCCTTCTCAGACACCTTCTGCAGAGGCAACTGATCTCCTCTTCACCTTATCTTGATTTCCTTTCATTTCTAGGATTGAAGATTTTAAAAAATGAATAATCCACCCTAACACTGTGTCATGTGAGTTTTAAAACTAAAAGAGCAAACAAGATTACTTCTGTGAATACAGCACTAACTATATGAATACAGAGCTGCACTCATATCTTAGAGGATGTTGTTCTACTCATGGATCCCCAAAGGGGTGACTCTAGAAATCCCAGAAACAGTTAAGCATCTTGTTAGATACACAGATTCCCAGGCCCAAGCCCAGGATGTACTGGTCCAGGGACCAGCAGCATCAGCATCACCACCTGGGTACATTTTAGAACCACACATTCATAGGTGTGAGGCCCAGAAATCAGTGCTTTATCAAGTCCTCCAGGTGATTCTGATTCATGGTGAAGTTTGAAAAGCACTGATTTAAACAGGAGAATAATCTCAATTCAAAAAAGCGTGTACTGAGACCCTCCTAGTAAAGGCCCTGGGTTAGTTGCTGCAGGGAAAAGGAGAAACTCATTTTGTACTGTATTATTTTTTGAATGTTATTTTTCTTCAAACGTTTATTGAGAAGTTACTACGTGCTAAGCAGCCTGTTACAGGTTCCTTAAGATGTAAATGTTAGAAAGATACAATACCTAGGCTCAAGGAGCTTACAGTCTACTAAGACTTAAAGCAGGGGCTTGGCAAATTTTTTTCTGTAAAGGGCCAGAGAGTAAATATTTTAGGCTTTGCAGGCCACATGGTCTCTGTCGCGATTCCTCAGCTCTGCTGCTGCGTCGTGAAAGCAGCCATAGATAATATGTAAATGAATGAGCATGTCTGTATTCCAACAGAACTTCATTTATGGATACTAATGTCTGGATTTTATACAGTTCTCACATGTCATGAAATATTATCCTTCTCTAGAGTTTTTCAACCATTTAAAAATGTAAAAACAATTTTGGGGGCCTTACAAAAAGACATGGGGGCCAGATGTGTCCTGTGAGCAGTTGTTTCTGGTAGAGTGAAGCCAGTAAAGCAGTCACAAAGAAAATATGAGGGTTCGAGTCTCTGTGACATCATCAATAGAAAATGGAAAGTCAGGGGAAAGCTTTTTTCCAAGGAAAAGTGGTGAATGCTTTCTCAGTAAATAGTATTTCCTGTCATTTCCTATCCTGTTGTTTTCCTACAAAATAGCACAAGCCATTTCTTATATTTCTCTAGAGCAGAAACAGATCCACCCACTTAAGCAAATCTATTCCATCTCCTCATCCACACTATATTTCAAAAATATAACACAGTATTAAGGGAGGTCCTTATGTTCTTTCCCCATGGATCCAATTGTATCCATTTATTTAGATACAAAAGACAACGTTTTCAATATTAAAAAAGGCAGAACATCTTCCATCAAGCATATACCACACTACTTACATTCTCCCTCAATCACAAGGAGGCGGAGATTGGCCATGTTACACACAACGTTCGCGTCTGTCTGTAAAACTGCTGAATTGTGTTGTCTACTGCTGGCTCCAACATTTTGCAGGATCATAATTAACTCAAGATTTTTGTTTGTTTGTTTTTCATCTGAGCTTCCCACTGTTAAGTGTCTAAGAGTCCAGTTTTTAAAGATTAATATTCACAGAAATATAAATGCTGCTACTCTGACAGAGCAAGTGACATATGATAAGAAAGTTCAGGCAAGAAGTCCTGGAAGCAACAGAGAAGCAGCAGTTGCTAGGAGTAAAAGAAAGGATGTTCCCAGAAAAGGAAGAAGCTCATGAAACAGCTTTGAGCAGGATGGACCTTGGTATATTTGGGACACTGAAAATAATTTAGGATGGATAGTGCCTAGTGGTAAAGAGGAAGGGCAAGGGAGGAGTTGTGTCAAGAGATGAGCCTGAAAAGATCAGCAAAGGCCAGATTACAATCACATACCTTGCCAAGAAATATTAATCTCTACCCTAAAGGTTACATGAAATCACTTAGTATTTTAAGCCAATTAGAAAAATCAAGTGGCAGCAGTGTGGAGATGGATCTGCAGAGGGACAAGAGCTGGGGCAGGGAGACCAGTTAGGAAGATATTTGCAGTAATCCAGGTGAGACAGGATGAGGGCCTTCACTAAGGTGTTGGCAGTGGGGAAGGGGATAAGGGGTGAAATTCTAGAGAAATTAAAAAATCAAAACTATAGGTCCCGGTGATTGCTTGACTGTGGCAGGTGTGAAGAAGTGACAGTAGTCAACATGATTGCCAGGTATTTTGGCCTGGACAAGTAGTAAGATGATGGAACCCTGGCGGCTTCTGTAGGCAGGAGGAAGTTGTTCAGAGACAGCAGTTATTCCTTGCAGGTTGTTAATTTGTAGACTGCCTTTCACTTTTGCTCTAACCAAAATACAATGACTCCTTTATCCTTTAACTTTTCATTACGGTTTTCTACACAACTGGAAAGTAGACACACTTATAATTCAATGTCATGTCATTCAATTAATCAGCATGCTCTATTCACTACAGCTTGGAAAAGTTATTGATCAAACATGTGGAAATGCTGACAGCCTACAGTTGGCTGCTTGAGATAAAACAGAAATGTGAAAGATGAAATGATTCTTGTCACTAGCATATTTTGAATAATTGTTCTTGATTAGTAGTGGTCCCCTGTGTGGTTCGACAGGCTAACTGATCAAAATTAAGAACGCAAGTTCCAAAAGTCATCCAAACTTTTGGGAACATAAACTCCATCTAAGTTATGCTGTTAACTCTTTTTAGGAAGTACTCATGCTGCTGGTCTTCCGAGTGTCCCACTTATAAGTGAGCAGTGAGATCAGTTATCAACTCAGCACGACTTCAAAGGGTCAGGAAGATGCTCTTAGAGTAACATTAATCTATCTCACTGGAGGAAGAGAGAATCTTTTCTGCTTAATTAAAAGCTGTAGCATTAACTTAAAAGTTAGGATGTGATAGTAGAATGATTTCAAATTTTATAGCCAGGATAGCAAAGTTCAAGGACTGACAATGCTATATGACTAACAGCAAGTCACTGAACCTCTTGGACTAAGTTTGCTCATTTGTAAATTTGGAAACCATTTGCCCATCCCACTAAACACCCAAGGGCTTTGCAAGGTTAAAAAATAGGTAACAGTTGGGAAAGCACTCTACACTTGTAGAATTCCTATGTGTATACAAATTATCACAATTACTATTGCCATTATTATTATCACAACTCTTTTGGTTAAGTCCTATAGTATGGAGAATTATTCTAGAATAATGCATCTGAGATGAACATGAGGGAAAGATGAATTGGGGTGAAGGACACTCTTTGCCTTCTCACATAAACATGACTCAATAGTTTCCCCCAGTCTCCCAGTTCAGCTAAGGCAAAAGAAAGAAAGTTTTGAAAAGAATAGACAAACAGGTGACAAGCTACTTCCTCCTAGCTAAGTGCAAAAAAAGAGAAAATCCAAGAAAGAAGGAAATCCAGAGAGAAACACACAAGATGATACAACTAGAAACAGGAAAACACAGCAACAGCAGCAAATGTCAACAAGCTACCCTAGAACACAAGTTAGATTTTTGAAAACCCTTGTTTTAGTAGTAGGGCAACTACTACAGGGACAAAAAAAAAAAACTAGAAAAACACCGATCACCTGAAAATGACTTTACATGATTGTAGAGTAATTTACTCTGAATACTTAAAAGATTACCAAAACAGATTACAAAAAACGCTATAAAAACTTGTGTGAAATTTATAAATCCTATAAAAGATGTCACATATCAGAGCAGTCCAGTAGGAGCAAAACCAACATCCTGAAGGAAGAAATTATGACGGTAAAAACAGACTAACAGAGCAAGTGAAAGCACAGCTAAGTTACACAGCTAATGACAGAGAAAAAGAAATCACAGAACTCAGGAACAAACCAACAAAATCCAAACTGAGAATAATCAGAGTACCAAAAGACATAGAAATGCAAGCAAATTGTCAACCTTTCACAGGTAGTGAATTAAATATAATCTTATAGAACGTCAAGACATCAAATTTTATAGAACGTCAAGACATCAAATTCTAATACGGAGATCTTGAAGGAATATGAAAATCCATTTGGGGACAATCCTCATTGAAATGCATCCCAGCACCTACTTGTCACATTTTAAAAGTTTGAAACAAAAGAGCAGAATAATATGAGGTCTTGAGAAGAAAGGAGAGAAAGATGAAGATGTAATTAATGGGATATTTTGGATTGGTTTCTATAGAATGCATTGCCTGAGTACATACATTTAGAGAGACTGCTATAGAGAAGTCAATGGATAAAATTTTCATGAGAGCCCTCTGCTGAGAAATACTATTACTTTTGTTTGTTTGTTTTTTGACAGAGTCTCGCTCTGTTGCCAGGCTGGAGTGCAGTGGCACCATCTTGGCTCACTGCAATCTCTGCCTCCTGGGTTCAAGTAATTCTCCTGCCTCAGCCTCCCAAGTAATAGGGATTACCAGCGTGTGCCACCACACCCAGCTAATTTTGTATTTTTAGTAGAGAAGAGGTTTCACCACGTTGGCCAGGATGGTCTCAATCTCCTGACCTCGTGATCTGCCCATCTCAGCCTCCCAAAGTCCTGGGATTACAGGCATGAGCCACGACACCCAGTTGAAATGCTATTACTTTTATAAAGTGTGTATGTCTGTATTCTTGGGAGTTAAAAGTAAGGTCTGGCAAATGAATGACCCGAAGTATTAATTTTGCCATAATTTCACAAAAGCAATAATATTTTTTCAGGCCACCAGATGAGAAGAAATCATAACCAAATTTATTTGGCAGCTAAGATGTCACAGTTTGGAAAGCAGTGAGTCAGAGATCAAAGAACAGCAAGGCAGGCACTTCCTTACTGATGGTGTGTCTGGAATTGGTTCCTTCCAGTGGGTTCTTGGTCTCACTGACTTCAAGAATGAAGCCGCAGACCCTCGCGCTGAGTGTTACAGCTCTTAAAGATGGTGTGTCCGGAGTTTGTTCCTTCAGATGTTTAGATGTGTCCGGAGTTTCTTCCTTCCAGTGGGTTCGTGGTCTCACTGACTTCAGGAGTGAAGCTGCAGACCTTCGCAGTGAATATTACAGCTCTTAAAGGTGGTGCGTCCAGAGTTGTTTGTTCCTCCCCATGAGCTGGTGGCCTCGCTGACTTCAGGAATGAAGCCACAGACCCTCACGGTGAGTGTTACAGCTCATAAAGTTAGTACGGACCCAAAGAGTGAGCCGCAGCAAGATTTATTGTGAAGAGCAAAAGAACTAAGCTTCCACCATGCGGAAGGGGACCAGAGTGAGTTGCCCACTGTTGGCTTGGGTGGCCAGCTTTTATTCCCTTATTTGGCCCCACCCATGTCCTACTGATTGGTCCATTTTACAGAGTGCTGATTGGTCCATTTTACAGAGCGTTGCTGGTGCATTTACAATCCTTTAGCTAGACACAGAGCGCTGACTGGTGCGTTTTTACGGAGTGGTGATTGGTGCATTTACAATCCTTTAGCTAGACACAGTGCTGATTGGTGAGTTTTTAGAGTGCTGACTGGTGCATTTACAATTCTCTAGCTGGACAGAAAAGTTCTCCAAGTCCCTACTCGACCCAGGAAGTCCAGCTTGTCAGGCCTCTGAGCCCAAGCTAAGCCATCATATCCCCTGTGACCTGCACATACGCATCCAGATGGCCAGTTCCTGCCTTAACTGATGACATTCCACCACAAAAGGAGTGAAAATGGCCTGTTCCTGCCTTAACTGATGACATTATCTTGTGAAATTCCTTCTCCTAGCTCATCCTGGCTCAGAAGCTCCCCTACTGAGTACCTTGTGACCCCCACTCCTTCCCGCCAGAGAACAACCCCCTTTTGACTATAATTTTCCTTTACCTACCCAAATCTTATAAAACCGCCCCATCCCTATCTCCCTTCACTGACTCTCTTTTTGGACTCAGCCCGCCTGCCCCCAGGTGATTAAAAAGCTTTATTCCTCACACAAAGCCTGTTTGGTGGTCTCTTCACACGAACACGAGTGAAATTTGGTGCTATGACTTGGATCGGGGGACCTCCCTTGGGAGAGCAATCCCCTGTCCTCCTGCTCTTTGTTCCATGAGAAAGATCCACCTACGACCTCTGGTCCTCAGACCAACCAGCCCAAGGAACATCTCACCAACTTTAAATCTGGTAAGCGGCTTCTTTTTACTCTCTTCTCCAACCTCTCTCACTATCCCTCAACCGCTTTCTCCTTTCATTCTTGGCACCACACTTCAATCTCTCCCTTCTCTTAATTTCTGTTCCTTTCCTTTTCTGGTAGAGATGAAGGAGACTCATTTTATCCATGGACCCAAAACTCTGGCACCAGTCACAGACTCGAAGACAGTCTTCTCTTGGTGTTTAATCATGTGGGGACGCCTGCCTGATTATTTACCCACGTTTCAGAGGTGTCTGACCACATGGGGACGCCTGCCTTGGTCCTGCACCCTTAGTGGCAAGTACCACTTTTCTGGGGGGCAAGAACCCCTCCAACCCCTTCTCCTTCACCCTTAGTGGCAAGTACCACTTTTCTGGTGGGCAAGAACCCCCCAACCCCTTCTCCCTCACCCTTAGCAGCAAGTACTGCTTTTCTGGGGGACAAGAACCCCCCAACCCATTCTCCTTCAACCTTGGAGGCAAGTACCACTTTTCTAGGGGGCAAGAAACCCCCGACCCCTTCTCTCTGTGTCTCTACTCTCTCTTTTCTCTGGGCTTGCCTCCTTCACTATGGGCAGGCTTCCGCCCTCCATTCCTCCTTCTTCTCCCTTAGCCTGTGTTCTTCAAAACCTAAAACCTCTTCAACTCACATCTGACCTAAAACCTAAATGCCTTATTTACTTCTGCAATGCCGCTTGAACCCAATACAAACTTGACAGTGGTTCCAAACAGCCAGAAAATGGCACTTTCAATTTTTTCCATCCTACAAGATCTAAATAATTCTTGTCGTAAAATGGGCAAACGGTCTGTGGTGCCTGACGTCCAGGCATTCTTTCACTTATCGGTCCCTCCCTAGTCTCTGTTCCCAGTGCAACTTGTCCTAAATCTTCCTTCTTTCCCTCCTGCCTGTCCCCTCAGTCCCAACCCCGAGCGTCACTGAGTCTTTCTAATCTTCCTTTTCTACAGACCCATCTGACCTCTCCCCTCCTCACCAGGCCGAGCTAGGTCACAATTCTTCCTCAACCTCCACTCCTCCACCCTATAATCCTTTTATCACCTCCCCTCCTCACACCTGGTCCGGCTTACAGTTTCGTTCCGCGACTAGCCCTCCCCCACCTGCCCAGCAATTTCCTCTTAAAAAGGTGGCTGGAGCTAAAGGCATAGTCAAGGTTAATGCTCCTTTTTCTTTATCCCAAATCGGATAGCATTTAGGCTCTTTTTCATCAAATATAAAACCCCGGCCCAGTTCATGGCTCATTTGGCAGCAACCCTGGGATGCTTTACAGCCCTAGACCCTAAAAGGTCAAAAGGCCGTCTTATTCTCAATATACATTTTATTGCCCAATCCGCTCCGGACATTAAATAAAACTCCAAAAATTAAATTCCAGCCCTCAAACCCCACAACAGGACTTAATTAACCTCGCCTTCAAGGTGTACAATAATAGAGTAGAGGCAGCCAAGCAGCAACATATTTCTGAGTTGCGATTCCTCGCCTCCACTGTGAGACAAACCCCAGCCACATCTCCAGCACACAAGAACTTCCAAACGCCTAAACCGCAGTGGCCAGGTGTTCCTCCAGGCCCGCCTCCCCCCAGGAGCTTGCCCCAACTGCCAGAAATCTGGCCACCAGGCCAAGGGATGCCTGCAGCCAGGGATTTCTCCTAAGCCATGTCCCATCTGTGTGGGACCCCACTGAAAATCGGACTGTTCAACTCACCTGGCAGCCACTCCTAGACCCCCTGGAACTCTGGCCCAAGGCTCTCCGACTGACTCCTTCCCAGTTCTTCTCGACTTAGTGGCTGAAGACTGACACTGCCCGATCACCTTGGAAGCCCCCTAGACCATCACGGATGCCGAGCTTTGGGTAACTCTCACAGTGGAGGGTAAGTCTGTCCCCTTCTTAATCAATATGAAATCTACCCACTCCACATTACCTTCTTTTCAAGGGCCTGTTTCCCTTGCCTCCATAACTGTTGTGGGTATTGATGGCCAGGCTTCTAAATCTCTTAAAACTCCCCAACTCTGGTGCCAACTTAGACAATATTTTTTAAGCACTCCTTTTTAGTTATCCCCACCTGCCCAGTTCCCTTATTAGGCCCAGACACTTTAACTAAATTATCTGCTTCCCTGACTATTCCTGGACTACAGCCGCATCTCATTGCTGCCCTTCTTCCCAATCCAAAGCCTCCTTTGCATCTTCCTCTTGTATACCTCCACCTTAACCCACAGGTATGGGGTACCTCTACTCCCTCCTTGACGACCAATCATGCACCCCTTACCATCTCATTAAAACCTAATCAACCTTACCCCGCTCAATGCCAATATCCCATCCCACAGCATGCTTTAAAAGGATTAAAGTCTGTTATCACTCACCTGCTACAGCATGGCCTTTTAAAGCCTACAAACTCCCCTTACAATTCCCCCATTTTTCCTGTCCTGAAACCAGACAAGTTTTACAGGTTAGTTCAGGATCTGCGCCTTATCAACCAAATTGTTTTGCCTATCCACACTGTGGTGCCAAACCCATATACTCTCCTATCCTCAATACCTCCCTCCACAACCCATTATTCTGTTCTGGATCTCAGACATGCTTTCTGTACTATTCCTTTGCACACTTCATCCCAGCCTCTCTTCCCTTTCACTTGGACTCACCCTGACACCCATCAGGCTCAGCAAATTACCTGGGCTGTACTGCTGCAAGGCTTCACAGACAGCCCCCATTACTTCAGTCAAGCCCAAATTTCTTCCTCATCTGTTACCTATCTCAGCATAATTCTCACAGAAACACCTGTGCTCTCCCTGCCGCTCATGTCCAACTGATCTCTCAAACCCCAGCATCTTCTACAAAACAACTCCTTTCTTTCCTAGGCAAGGTTAGATACTTTCGACTTTAGATACCTGGTTTTGCCATCCTAACAAAAACATTATATAAACTCACAAAAGGGAACCTAAATGACCCCATAGATCTTAAATCCTTTCCCCACTCCTCTTTCCATTCCTTGAAGACAGCTTTAGAGACTGCCCACACCCTAGCTTTTCCTGACTCATCCCAACCCTTTTCATTACCCACAGCTGAAGTGTAGGGCTGTGCAGTCAGAATTCTTACACAAGAACCGGGACTGCACCCTGTAGCCTTTTTATCCAAACAACTTGACCTTACTGTTTTGCCTAGCTCTCAAGTCTGCGTGAGGCAGCCACCACCACCGTAATACTTTTAGAAGCCCTTAAGATCCCAAACTATGCTCAACTCACTCTCTACAGTTCTCATAACTTCCAAAATCTATTTTCTTCCTCATACCTGACACATATACTTTCTGCTCCTCGGCTCCTTCAGCTATACTCACTCTTTGCTGAGTCTCCCACAATTACCATTGTTCCTGGCAAGAACTTCAATCCGGCCTCCCACATTATTCTGGATACCACACCCGACCTTCATGACTGTATCTCTTTGATCCATCTGACATTCACCCCATTTCCCCATATTTCCTTCTTTCCTGTTCCTCACCCTGATCACATTTGGTTTATTGATGGCAGTTCCACAAGGTCTAATCGCCACTCACCAGCAAAGGCAGGCTATGCTATAGTATCATCCACATCTATCATTGAGGCTACCGCTGTGGCCCCCTCCACTACCTCTCAGAAAGCCGAACTAGTTGCCTTAACTCAAGCCCTCACTCTTGCAAAAGAACTATGCATCAATATTTATACTGACTCTAAATATGCCTTTCATATTCTGCACCACCATGTTGTTATATGGGCTGAAAGAGGTTTCCTCACTATGCAAAGGTCCTCCATCATTAATGCCTCTTTAATAAAAACTCTGCTCAAGGCTGCTTTACTTCCAAAGGAAGCTGGAGTCATTCACTGCAAAGGCCATCAAAAGGCGTGAGATCCCATTGCTCTAGGCAACGCTTATGCTGATAAGGTGGCTAGACAAGCAGCTAGCTTTCCAACTTCTGTCCCTCACGGCTAGTTTTTCTCCTTCACATCGGTCGCTCCCACCTACTCCTCCGCTGAAACTTCCACCTATCAATCTCTTCCCACACAAGGCAAATGGTTCTTAGACCAAGGAAAATATCTCCTTCCAGCCTCACAGGCCCATTCTATTCTGTCATAATTTCATAACCTCTTCCTTGTAGGTTACAAGCCACTAGGCAGTCTCTTAGAACCTCTCATTTCCTTTCCATCCTGGAAATCTATCCTCAAGGAAATTACTTCTCAGTGTTCCATCTGCTATTCTACTACCCCGCAGGGATTGCTCAGGCCTCCTCCCCTCCCTACACATCAAGCTCAGGGATTTGCCCCCGCCCAGGACTGGCAAATTGACTTTACTCACATGCCCCCAGTCAGAAAACTAAAATACCTCTTAGTCTGGGTAGACACTTTCACTGGATGGATAGAGGCCTTTCCTACAGGGTCTGAGAAGGCCACCACGGTCATTTCTTTCCTTCTGTCAGACATAATTCCTTGGTTTGGCCTTCCCACCTCTATACAGTTTGATAGCAGACCGGCCTTTATTAGTCAAATCAGCCAAGCATTTTTTCAGGCTCTTGGTATTCAGTGAAACCTTTATATCCCTTATGGTCCTCAGTCTTCAGGAAAGGTAGAACAGACTAATGGTCTTTTAAAAACACACCTCACCAAGCTCAGCCACCAACTTAAAAAGGACTGGACAATACTTTTACCACTTTCCCTTCTCAGAATTCAGGCCTGTCCTCGGAATGCTACAGGGTACAGCCCATTTGAGCTCCTGTATGGACGCTGTTTTTTATTAGGCCCCAGTCTCATTCCAGACACCAGACCAACTTGGACTGTGCCCCAAAAAACTTGTCATCCCTACTATCTTCTGTCTGGTCATACTCCTAATTCACCTTTCTCAACTACTCATACATGCCCTGCTCTTGTTTACACTGCTGGTTTTCACTGTTTCTCCAAGCCATCACAGCTGATATCTCCTGGTGCTATCCCCAAACTGCCACTCTTAACTCTTAAAGTAAATAAATAATCTTTGCTGGCAGGACTATGCTGAATCTCCTTAGGCACTCTCTAATTAGATGTCCTGGGTCCTCCCAATTCTTAGACTTTTAATACCTGTTTTTCTCTTTCTCTTATTCCATTTAGTTTTTCAATTCATACAAAACTGTAACCAGGCCATCACCAATAATTCTAAATGACAAATGTTTCTTCTAACAACCCCACAATATCACCCACAATATCACCCCTTACCACAAAATCTTCCTTCAGCTTAATCTCTCCCACTCTAGCTTCCCACGCTGCCCCTAATCCCACTTGAAGCAGCCCTGAGAAACATCGCCCATTGTCTCTCCATACCACCCCCAAAAATTTTCACCATCCCAACACTTTACCACTATTTTGTTTTATTTTTCTTATTTATATAAGAAGACAGGAATGTCAGGCCTCTGAGCCCAAGCTAAGCCATCATATCCCCTGTGACCTGCATGTACACATCCAGATGGCCAGTTCCTGCCTTAACTGATGACATTCCACCACAAAAGAAGTGAAAATGGCCAGTTCCTGCCTTAACTGATGACATTCCACCACAAAAGAAGTGAAAATGGCCTGTTCCTGCCTTAACTGATGACGTTATCTTGTGAAATTCCTTCTCCTGGCTCATCCTGGCTCAAAAGCTCCCCTACTGAGCACCTTGTGTCCCCCACTCCTTCCCACCAGAGAACAACCCCCCTTTGACTGTAATTTTCCTTTACCCACCCAAATCTTATAAAACGGCCCCACCCCATCTCCCTTCCCTGACTCTCCTTTCGGACTCAGCCTGCCTGCACCAAGGTGATTAAAAAGCTTTATTACTCACACAAAGCCTGTTTGGTGGTCTCTTCACACGGACGCGAGTGAAACAGCTGGCTTCACCTCTCAATGGTATGTAATATGTAACATATAATAGAAATTGTTTGGTAAGTCAAGTCCAATCTGATGTGGCAGATAACACTTGTTCTTGTCCATCTGTGTCTTTCGACTGTCTTGTTTTTCTGGAGACTGAAAGCCTCAAGGAACAAGCTATGTCTTACTATAGACGAGAATTACCTGATGCTCAGATTTTAGGCACAAGGCAGGCTCCCAAGGAAATCAATCAGAAAAGACAATTTTTCTATTGAAGACTAGAGGTACATTTTTAAAATGGTAGCAAACCTTAAAAAATTATCTATAATGTCTCACAGCTAAAAAATATCCCAAAAGAATAAATGGAGAGTTTAAAACAATTAAAGATTTCAAGGACTTGAAATCTACTTAAGGACTTCTTGAATGCAAGATTAGGAAAAGAAATGGTTAGAAATATCAAACAAAACAGTTAATTAGATCATATTTTGAGAAGCACAAAATATAAATAATATTTTTAAAGTGCTCCAAACTATGTCAGAGGTAAAAGCCAGCATGGAATTTGGGTTTCATATCACACCCAAAAAGATATTCAAGATTAACTTACTCTGTTGAAATATATATTAAAAGTAATGATAACTACGTCAAAATATGTTGTTAAGGATATATAATCAGATTGGCAGATGATCATTTCAATGGAAAATAAAAAGTTTCAAATCAACTGCAGAACCATCATAATAAAATGGAATAAAAAATAGTAAAGAAAAAGTAACAGGGCAAAGGAAGTAGTAGAAAGCTATCACTTAAAACGTATAAAGTAAAAAAATTAAACTCTAATAACAAGCATAAGTCACTGAACAAAATTCAATAATCTGATGTCTATAAGAAACACACTTAAAATTAAAATGTAAACGGAATAAAATCCAAAAGGTAATTTAAAGCCAGCCATGCCTGTAGAAATACAAAAATAAAAATAAAAAAATTTAAAAAGGAGATTTCTACTGTGGCACAAAAATTTTAGACAGATTAACAAGTTACTATTGTATTTTTCACAAGAAAAACCTGAGACAAATTAGATTTAATAGGGCTTATTTGAACAAAGAATGATTCATAAATAGGGCAGCACTCAGAATGAGAATAGTCTTAGAGAGCTCTGCCTAGCAGTGTGATCAGTGAGATTTTATAGCCAAGATATAGGAGCAAAGTAGGTAAATCACCAGATTGGCTACAGCTAGGCATTTGCCTAATTTGGGCATGATGGAATAATGTGGCTGCATGTGATTTGTTGAAACTTGGCTGCTTGTGATTGGCTGAAACTCAGCTCTTTGTTATATCCCTTAATTAGGTTTTGGTTTGTTTACCTACTAAGATAGCAGTTTGTTAAGTAGGAGTTCAAAGTACAGAGCTAGCTCAGACTGATGTGTTCAGGAAAAGCTGAGTGTTGGGAGGGAAACTGAGGCAGGGCTTGCATAATGTCCTCTGGAACGTGTTTAGACTTGCTGACTCCTTGCTTCTAGCCTTGCTAGGCTCCTAGATCGATTGTATTTCCATTACCTCAAGTAGCAGAACATGTTCCTTATAAATGCTGAACCATCACAGCTGTAGATCATGCACCTGCCCTTTTGACCGCCACATTTTCACCACCTGTTTACCTGTTGGATTACCAGTAAATAGCATGGGCTCCCAGAGCTCAGGGCCTTCACAGCCTCCATGATAGTGATGGCCCCCGGTCCCAGCTTTCTCTCTCAAACTGTCTTTTTCTCAATCCTTTGACTCCGCAGGACTTTGTCACCCCCATGACCTGGTGTTGGGTCTGATCACCCCAACACTGATGGCTTCCTGCTTAAATATATATTAAACAAGTTAACTTGCATATAAAGTTATATTAAACAAAAATATTTTAACAATGTTGCATTTGTATATGCTAACCAACATAGTAACAATATATTCTGAAGAAAAAGGATTAAAAATGGCAAATATATTGTTCCCGAAAACTTCATTAGTTTATAATGTTAGGCTTAGTAGACACAAAATTAAAATAAAAATATGAAAATTTCAAAATGGAATCAAACAATAATATACAATAACTGTAATAGTGAGAGCTTAATGACAGCAGAACCTTTTTTTATTAAGTTGACAGACTATTTTTCAAAAATTGCTCAGATATTGAGATAAGAAAAACACAACTGATAAATATTAGAATGGCTGAAAATCTGTATGTTTTATAATTTTTTGTTTTAAAACACTTTAAGGTGAAATTTACATAATGTAACTAATAATTTTAAAGTGAACAATTAAATGACAACCACAATTAGTCATATGTTTTGCAATCACCACCTCTATCTAAAAATTACAGAAAATGAAGCCCTGTGGAAGCAAGAGCCAGATAAGGCTTTTTTTCTTTTGCCATGTGCATATGTGACTATGTATTTTATAATGAGGAGGATTTTTTTCCAAGGCTTTAGGGACCAAAAAAAATTGTAAACATAATAACATTAAAAACAACCATCTATGGAACACTTCCTTTAGACCAGTCACAGTGTACAGGACATTACAGGTTTTATCTCATTCAGCCTGTGTGGAGCCTTCAGCTATCCGCAGTCTAAACCGCTATTACTCTCACCTTCTGCTAAGCCACATGTGATAGAAATTGTGTGGCCTATCAGATAACTAGGGTAAAGTTGGAGGATTGGCATAACACTCCTGGAGGCTTTTGTTAAAAGTCCAATTTGAAAATAAATTTGTATGACAAAATAGAAAGCTTATCATTTAAATCATTCTAAAGTGGCTAAAACAAACATCCAAAGAAGCTATTACTACTGTCTGGTTTTCAGATACAAGGGAAGAAATTTGAAGTTTGACCATTTTATCAAGCGTGGCATCATATTATTTGTATTATGTGAGACATCATGTTTTTATAAACAGTTTTAATGATGTAGAAATTAAGATGTTGAGCTTCATTAATACTTGACTTTATCCAATGGGATCTAAATCTGCTTTAGTTTCACTTTCAGATAACTGCCTCTAGCTCTTGATATGCTATTCAGAATTGGTTTTAGATGTTTTAAAAGAGCATAAAAGAGAATTTATCGAATGTCCATAAATATATTTTTATAATTATTGTTACAATCATTATTGTTAGCATGGTGACAATAAACATCCTTCAAAACTTGTCCCTTACAAATGAAGCCCTTCTATTCCTAGTAGACCTCAAAGTGAAGATGAATGGAAAGGAACAAAATGTGTCCCCAGATAAGCTAGTTTAGCATTATTTATACAGCCCTCATATGCGTTCAATATGTCACATATGATATACAAATATACCCTAATATATCTTATGGTATCATTCAGGTTGAATATTCCTTATCTGAAATGCCTGGAACAAGAAATGTTTCTGATTTTGCATTGTTTCTGATTTTTGGAATAGTTACATATACATAATGAGAGATCTTGAAGATGGGACCCAAGTCTAAATAAAAAATTTTTGTATGTTTCATATACACTCTATACACATAGACTGAAGGTAATTTTATACAATATTTTAAATGATTTTGTTCACAAAACAAAGTTTGTGTGGATCAAACTATATACAAAAGGAAAGGAGGCCGGGTGTGGTAGCTTATGCCTGTAATCCTAGTACTTTGGGGAGGCTGAGGTGAGAGGATCACTTGAGCCCCAGGAGTTTGAGACTAGCCTGGGCAAATAGTGAGAATCTGTCTCTACAAAAATAAAAATAAAATTCAAAAAAAGCAAAGGTGTCAAATCTCAGCCACTCAAGTGAACAGTCTATGACTGTTAGGCATCATCATTATTCCTGACTCTAAATTCACATGCCACCAATAATCAATCATTTTTTGTGCTTATTCATACGTAAGTACTTAACAGTAAAAAATATGACATACCATTAACACACTGAAAAAATCACGTGCTCATGGTAACTTACCAGCCCGGTGACTTCACCGGAACACGTGTATCAGCTGTGAAACAACAACAACAACAAACAACAGCAGGCTTTCAGCCACCACCTACAATGCTGTGTTTTGATTAATAGGTTACTGTGCACTGTATTTTATTTTTTTAGGTGAGAAGTAACATCAGAAGCAGTTGAGACACCAGGAATTGGGTGCTCTAGGGATGATGAGAGAATCTGCTGGATGGCTTTTAACAATGTTTCCTCCAGAGCCTTCTGCCTCATTAACAATGGTTTTTATTTTAGAAATCTCTCTTTGATTTTATAAATGGACATGATTTCTTGTTCTGTTATGAAGGCATTGCTGCTCCAGTCCTTCAATACGTCCATCACATACTTTAACCATGTTGTCTATAGACACTTTATCTGCAGTGTTAACAGCATCATCTTCATTGTCGCTATTATCACCATTACCTTAATTCAGAATCTTTTTGGCTATTTCACTATTGGTCAACGAATGAACAACTGGAGTCTCATTCAAGAAAGTTTTTTATGTTTATTCTCCATCAATCTAGGGATAGCCTAGTCACATGGCTGAATTAATGAAGTCACACTTAAAGGAAAGCACACAGTATAAACTTTATTTTTGATAAGAATTTCAGCGGAAAGATGAGCAGAACAGCTGTCAAGGAATAACAAATCTTGCAGTTATCATCTAGTCCAGCCTCCTCCCTGCAGAGACAGCAAGCTGCTGGTATAAAATGATTGTGAAACCAATCAGAAAAGGTGTCACTGGTGATCCATGCCTTTTTGTTAACATAATAATAGACTGGTAAGAAATTCACTTCTTGAAAACAGAGAAGGCACAAGCTTTTGCATATTACACCGATTTTATTCTTACGCATGCCTGACACATTAGCACATACATC
The DNA here is from genome assembly GCF_000001405.40 of Homo sapiens. Taxonomy (NCBI): domain Eukaryota; kingdom Metazoa; phylum Chordata; class Mammalia; order Primates; family Hominidae; genus Homo; species Homo sapiens. The sequence goes on from NC_000012.12 coordinate 30,067,338, forward strand.
CCAGCATAGTTATTCTGTCTTTGGCATTCTTGTAGAAGCTGTCTCATCAGCTTTAGTCAGTGTCTTTCTTGGGCAATAACACTAAAACAGTGATGTTTCATCAGCATTATAGAGTTGTTCTGGTGTCAGATTTTCATCAGCAATGATCTTGGCAAACTCATCAATGAATTTTTTCACAGCTTCATGAACAACAGATGCTTTATCACCACAATTTTAAAAAAAAATGTAATACCATGTCTTTTCTGAGCCTGTTGAATATTCAAAGCTATCTTTTATTCTCAGTTCATCTTGATAGATCTTTGCTTGTTTCATGATCAGCATACCATTAAGTGGCATATGTTCACTGCAACCCTGACAGATCCACTCTTTCAATACACGATTGAGATCTTCATGTTTAGCTGTATACGATTTTCTAATGTTTATTAACTTCGGTTCATCATTGTCAGCATAAAACTTCAACAATATGTCCTTCTGTTTCTTCAGGTCATATGTAGTGGTCATTCCAACACCATACTCTTCTATATGATATTTCACTCTTACACTGCTGTCTAGTTTCACCAACAGCATGACTTTCTGTGCTTTCAATAAACACAAATGCTTCCTCTTTTCTTATCACTGTTACCCCTATGGGTATCTGCAGACATTTGTGACATTTTCAACAGTATCTTTGCACCACAGAGGAGAGAATAGGCAAAAAACACAGGGAGTAGTCCATATAGGTCTTGGTCCCACGTGAGCCATCGTGGGGAATCCGTCATTGTTGTGCCTGGCTTGCACATGTGCCAGTTCATTACCCTTTTTGGATGCACTTGCATGTGGGAATCTGGACATGTGCAGAAAAGATATACTGTAGCTGAATGGAGTTGGACGGGTTTTTTTTTGGTCCTTGGGGACTTTGAATAAACTGTGAATAAACAATAAGATAATTCAATTTCATCTTAATTTCACCTTTTAACAATGCCCTCCTTCAGAGGAATCAAGGTAATTAGCAAATTTGTAGTGAGCTTGCGTTTTGACTCCTACCCATCGTATGAGATCAGGTGTGGAATTTTGTACTTGTGGCATCATGTTGGTTTCAGATTTTGGAGCATTTCAAATTTTGAATTTCCAGATTAGGGATGCTCAACCTGTTGTTTAAACAGTCACTTAACCAAAGTAACAATACCACAAATTTCTATGAAATCATTATCATTGATCTAGAACCATTGGTCAACATTATTCCTTGTTCTAATACTTCTAGAACTCTTGAGCACAAATAACGTATCTTTGCAAAAATAGCTGTTCATTTCTATTGCCACTCTAACCTCTTTACAACTTGAGTTGAATGTGACTATTTTTTTCCTTACGTTACAAAACCAAAATATAACATAGTAGGATTATAAAAAACTATCCAACAAATACCTAGATGAGGTTTCAAAAATGTTATTTTTACTAACTTTGCCAAACTGTAAGGCAAAAATGAAATGAGATTTTCTTGCTGTGAAAAGAGTAGCCTGAGTCCTTCCATTGTCCACAGACAGAATACAGCAGCACAATGCAATCACCTTCAGAGAACAAAAAAATGTGGCTAATCAATAACCACATTTAAGCACTGATCCCAGTCCAGAAGCACAGCCTCACCAAAGACTGAAACCTAATCATAGACTATAGAAGGCTTTCCCTCCTCCTCACCTTACCACCACATTACTAAAGACCTATTTACAGCGATAGGTCTTAGAGACAGAGCAAGCATCAGAACCAGACTCAGATAAATCAGGGATGTTGGAATTAACAGACTGGGAATTTAAAACAACTATGATTACTGTGCTCAGGGCTCTAATGGGTAAGGTAGACAGCAGGCAAGAACAGATGGGTAATGTGAACAGAGAGATGGAAATTTTAAGAAGGAACAAAAAATGCTAACAATCAAAACCACTGTAACAGAAATGAAGAATGCATTTGACAGACTCATTAGCATGCTGGACATAGCTGAGGAAAGAATTTCTGAACTTGAGGATAGCTCAGTAGAAACCTCCAAAACTGAAAAGCAAAAAGAAAAGACTTTTTAAAACACAGAACAAAATATTCAAGAATTGCGGGACAACTATAAAAGGTGTAACATACACATAATGCAAATACCTGAAAGATGAGAAAGAAAGGAACAGAGGAAATATTTCAAACAATAACGTTGAGAATTTCCACAAATTAATGTCAGACATCAAATCACAGCCAGGAAGTTCAGAGAATGCCAAGCGTGATAAATACACCTGTTAGGGGTGGCAAATATCCGAATTACTGACCGGCCTGCAGCAATCTCACTTCTTGCCTCCTCAGAAGAAAGAATTTGACGGAGAGACATAAGTCAGAAAAAGAGACTGAGACAAGTTTCAGAGCAGGAGGGAAAGTTGATTGAAAAGCTTTAGAGCAGGAAGGCCGGGCGTGGTGGCTCACGCCTGTAATCCCAGCACTTTGGAAGGCCGAGGCTGGCAGATCACGAGGTCAGGAGATCGAGACCATCCTGGCTAACACGGTGAAACCCCGTCTCTACTGAAAATACAAAAAATTAGCTGGGCATGGTGGTGGGCGCCTATAGTCCCAGCTACTCGGAAGGCTGAGGCAGGAGAATGGCATGAACCCGGGAGGCGGAGCTGGCAGTGAGCTGAGATAGCACCACTGCACTCCAGCCGGGGTGACAGAGAGAGACTCCATCTCAAAAAAAAAAAAAAAAGAAAGAAAGAAAAGAAGAGCTTTAGAGCAGGAAAGAAAGGAAAGTACAATTGGAAGAGACCCAAGTGGGTTCTTTGGAGGCCAAGTGCCCTGTTTAAACTTGATGCTAGGACTTTATATGCTGGCCCACTTCTGGTGTCTTATGCCCCTTTCCCTTTCTCCTCCCCTGGGGTGAACTGCCCACGCGTGCAGTGCCCTCCATACGCTTAGAAGGTGGGCATGTGCAGCATGTTTAGGAAGTTGTATGCATGCCCACCTGAGGCTTTCTTCCCTTTTCTGATGGAATGCCCCCCGAAGGCCACACTCTGCCATTTTGTCTCATAATGTGCATGCTCGAACTTATTCACCCGATTCCTAAGATGCTATTGAAAGGTGATTATCAATTTCAAGTGTTTTTATCTGTTCAGGAAATTGCCTCTCCCTAGTGCCCGCTGCCAATTATCATTTTTAGAGACACAGTGTGATAACTGCTGAACCATCACCTGATGGTCACCTGACATTCCTGGTGAGTGGTGGAGGAATCCCTTTCCTGCCCTGTTCATGTCTCGCTAACTAGCTACTGTAACACACCTAGGTGTAGCATTTTCAAACTATAGAAAATCAAAGATAAAGAAAAAATCTTAAAAGAAGTCAGAAGAAAAAAAAAGAGCAAAAATAAGAAGAATATCTAACTTATCAGAAACTATGTGTATTAGGATTTTCCAGAGAAATAGAATTGATAGGCCGGGCACGGAGGCTCACTTCTATAGTCCCAGCACTTTGGGAGGCCGAGGCAGGCAGATCACGAGGTCAAGAAATCGAGACCATCCCGGCCGACATGGTGAAACCCCGTCTCTATTAAAAATACAAAAATTAGCTGGCCATGGTGGCACACGCCTGTAGTCCCAGCTACTCAGGAGGCTGAGGCAGGAGAATTGCTTGAACCTGGGAGGCAGAGGCTGCAGTGAGCCAAGGTCTCACCACTGCACTCTAGCCTGGTGGCAGAGCGAAGACTCTGTCTCAAAAAAGAAAAAAGAAAAGAAAAGAAAAGAAATAGAATTGATAGTATATACATACACTCACATATATATATATACATACGTGTGTGTGTGCGTGTGTGTATTGAGATATTGACAGGAACAAAAAGAGATTGAGATTTGTTATGATAAATTTGATCACACAGTTTTGGAGGCTGAGAAATCCGTAATCTGTCATCTGCAAACTGGAGATTCAGGAAAGCTGGTGGTATAATTCTAGTCTAAATCTGAAAACTGACCAGGGGAGCTGATGATGTAAATCCCTGTCCAAGTGCAGGAGAAGATTGATGTCCCAGTACAAGTAGGCAGGTAGGAAGATAAAAGGAGAAAATTCCTCCTTCCTTTACCTTTTTGTTCCCTTCAGACCCTCAATGGATTGCATGATGCCCACTTACATTGGGGAGGGAAATCTACTTTACTGAGTCCACCTATTCTCATGCTTATTTATAAACAGGAACAAAGGACAAGGGCAATGAATAGAAACGGTAACAAATATGGTAGATATTAATTCAACTATATCGGTAATCACTTTTTATGTCAATCGTCTAAATGTACTAATTAAAAGATAGAGATTTTTAGTGTGGATCAGAAAAACAAGACTCAACTATATATTGTTGATAAGAAGCTTATTTTAAATTAAAAAAACACTTAAATATTGAAATTAAATGGGTGGAGAAAATATACTATGCTAACACTAATTTAAAAAAAGCAAAAGTAGCTATATTAATTTCAGGCAGAGCAGACTTCAGAGCACAGAAAGCTATCAGGGATAAAGATGGGCATTATATAATGATAAACAGTTAATCCATCAAGCAGACATAGAAATCCTAAACATGTATGTGCCTAGCAACAGAGCTTCAAACTATGTGAGGCAAAGCTGACAGAACTTCAAGGAGAAATGAATCCACTATTATAATCAGAGACTTCAACCCCTCTTTACCAGAAATGGGCGGATCTAGCAGGCAGAAAATTAGTAAAGACATAAAGTAACAATATCATCACCTGGATATAATGAAAATCTATAGACTACTTCCTCTAACAACAGCAGAATATCCATTCTTCTTAAATTCACATGGAACATTCATCAAGATAGAGCATATTCTGGGCCATAAAAAACACCTTAACAAATTTAAAAGAAGAGAAACCATACAATATCTGTGCTCAGACCACAGTGGAATTCAACTAGAAATTGATAATAGAAAGATAGGTGGAAAACCCTAAAGAACTTGGACATTAAACAGAATACTTCCAAATAACACCTGGGTCAAAGAATAAATCTCAAGACAACATAAAAATAGTTTGAACTAAACGAAAATAAAAATTAGACTTAAAATTTGTGGAATGCAGTTGAAGGCAGTGCTTATAGGGAAGGGAAATGCGTAGCACTGACTATTAGAAAAAGAGAAAGATTTAAGATCAATCACCTAAGTTTCCATTAGGAAACTAGAAAAAAAGCAAGTTAAATCCAAAGTAAGCAGGACAAGAGAAATAATTAAAAAATTGAAGCAGAAATCAATGGAAATTAAATCAGGAAATCATTAAAGAAAATCAACAAAACCAAAAGCTGGTTCTTTTGAAAAATGTTGGGTTAATAATCATATTATGTTAGCAACTGACATTAAAAATAAAAAGAAATGTTTTTATATGTAACTTGTGAAAGGAAAACAAAATCTTGGGACCCCAAACTCACTGTGCCAAAGGGAAAACTTTAAGTGTGGACACTGAGTCATGCAGAAAACTGCCTTTTCTTTTGTTCCTGAACAGATAGCTGCAAGATAGAAGGCCACATATCTCCCAGGTGGCCTCCGTAACCCTGACAAGGTAAGTTAACAGCTTTTCTTCACAAGTATGGGACAAAGACAAGACTAGAAAACTTTCCTCTACCCACCCTGAGACAAAGGCATATTTGACTTCTTTCTCTACTCCATGTTTACTTTATCTTATGTAAATTGCAGATTTACTGAGCATTGGACAAATGCATAATTGACTGTTCCTCTATCTCCTCCTTCCACACACAACATGTGGATTCAGTGAGCTTTAATCAAAGCCTCACAAGCATGTGACCACTTACTTTACTACATACCCTCTCTCTTTTTTCCTTTTTTCCCTTTAAATATTGAAGCCCTCTAAACTCTCTTTGGAAAAAGTGTTGGCCACAGATCCTACCGTGACTTGTGTCTTTTTTTCCAGAGCACGTCCTCAACCTTGGCAAAATAAACCTGTAAATTACATTACATACTTTTGATAGAAAATATATGAGAAAGAACAATATCACACAAAACTAGCTTCCTAAACTGGCTGATCATGACACTTCAAGAACACAAGAGAATGACTAGTTTTCTGTGACCATTATTATTAAAATTCAGAATCATGAAGTGGACCAGCAAATATCCCTTCTAAGATCAAGTTATTTGCCAGGTGCCATGGCTCAGGCCTATAATCTCAGCACTTACGGAGGCCGAGGCGGGCGGATCATTTGAGGTCAGGAGTTCAAAACCAGCCTGGCCAACATGATGAAACCCCCTCTCTACTAAAAATACAACAATTAGCCAGGCGTGATAGTGGGCACCTGTAATCTCAGCTACTCAGGAGACTGAGTCAGGAGAATTGCTTGAGCCCAGGAAGTGGAGGTTGCAGTGAGCTGAGATCATAGCACTGCACTCCAGCCTGGGTGACAGAGTGAGACTCCATCTCAAAAAAATATAAAAAGTTATTAGACTCCATTGAAGAGCCTATTAAATACCCCAAATCATGTCTGTGAGCCAAATTAAAGTATGAACATTCTTTATCAGACAATTCAAAAGCACGTATGTGCTTACATGGCTTATGACCAAAATAGCCCTTTAAAAAAATAGCTTCATGGAAGCAGAAATTTCTATTGCTGCTTATAGCCATATACCTGCAACAGAAAAGAAAAATTTTCCCAAGCAATGTTAAGCATCTACCACATACATCACATTATTCTTTCATAAGCAATATGTGTTTGCCTTGAAATATGTTTCATTCAATTCATATTATTTGTGGGAAGCTGTAAAGAATTGAAACTAAGAGAGTGTGGCCTCGGGAGCCAGGCAATGAGGGTTTCAATCCTCAGCTCTGCTGCTTACAGCCTGGGAAACCTTGGGTCAGTTTCACCTCTCTGCACCTCTATGTTGTTCTCAATTGTAAAATGGGAAGAATAATAGTATTCATTCCATAGTACTATTCTGAAGACTTAAACTGGTATTTTGTTATTGTATGTCACCCAAACAGATCTATCTCTTATGCTTACAAAGAGGGGATACCTGTGAGGAAGAACATGTGGTGTTTGGTTTTCGGTTCCTGTGTTAGTTTGCTGAGAATAATGGCTTCCAGCTTCATCCACGTCCCTGCAAAGGAAAGGAACTCATTTTTTATGGCTGCATAGCATTCCATGGTGTATATGTGCCACATTTTCTTTATCCAGTCTATCATATGGACACAGGGAGGGGTACATCACACACTGGGGCCTGTCGGGGGGTGGGGGGCAGGGGGAGGGAGAGCATTAGGACAAATACCTACTGCATGTGGGGCTTAAAACCTAGGTGATGGGTTGATAGGTGTAGCAAACCACCATGGCACATGTGTAACTATGTAACAAACCTGCGTGTTCTACACATGAATCCCAAAACTTAAAGTAAAATGAAAAAATAAATAAATATTTTTTTAAAAAGAGGGGATACCATGGTTGGGTGAGGTTATGTGATTTCCCTGTAGTCGCAAAGTGAGTAAGCATCAGAGGTTGGCTCGGTGTGCACCTGCTTTACAGCATGTGTCCTTATTTTTTCTGGAATCTTTGGGACCACACTTGCTTAGCAGAATATGATCTTCCAGAGAGAAGCAGGAAGACTGTGTGGACCCTAGACCTGACACAGCACACAAACACTTGGTTTGTGTTCAATATACAGGCTGGCTGAACAGGAACACTAATGGGAAGAGGAAGGAGGCTACGAACAGCACAATTGCAGGTTATGTGATCATTTACTTTCTATTCAATGTCAAATTTTGCATAAATTCTTTGGCTATGCCCTGAGGTAATTACTATGCACAAACTACTTGCAAATTAACTACATATTAAAGGGCATAGAGCAGACAAAAGAGTTATATCTTACCATAAAAGTCTGCAACCATTTCAGTCCACCTCCCTTTTGCTGTCCATGCATTTTTACTCCATCACCCCCCACCACTCTTTATTTAATCCAATTTTTCTTCAGAAGATTTTTTTCCCACCTCTCTCAAAGTTTTGCTCTTGAATGAGGTCTCTCTGGGAAAATGTTTCTGTAAGACTTCACTTACCAGAGTGAGTTAATATAAAAGAAACTTCTATTTTAGTACTTAGAAAATATACGGGGCCTTGTGTATAACAGTTAAATGTACCCAAATGGCACTGAGAGGTGATGACTAATTTACTCAGATCTCGTGTCTTCGTTCCTCATTCTTTCTCCCTCACGTTCCAATATCAAATTCCTTGTAATCATACTAATAATACTGACAGAAATAATACCTACCTAGAAAACTGACTATTTAAATATTTAAGAAATGGAGAAAATGAGGAGAATCTGGAACAAACTAAACTGAGTCCCTTTTAGCAAGCTCTGGACTGAATTCATCCCTGACCACCATGTTTATTTGTTTTTGTTTTGTGTTTTCTGTTTTTGTTTTTGTTTTTTTTGAGACGGAGTTTCACTCTGTCGCCTAGGCTGGAATGTAGTGGTGTGATCTGACTCACTGCAACCTCTGTCTCCCGAGTTCAAATGATTCTCCTGCCTCAGCCTCCCGAATAACTGGGATTACAGGCGCCTGCCACTACACCCAACTAATTTTTCATATTTTTAGTAGAAATGGGATTTCACCATGTGGGCCAGGCTGGTCTGGAACTCCTGATTCACCCGCCTCGGCCTCCCAAAATGCTGGGATTACAGGTGTGAGCCACCATGTCAGGCCTCTGACCACCATGTTTATTAATTATCTCACCTTTCTTCTGTTAGCCCCCTACAGTGGGCTTGGTAAAGAGGAAGCTCAGAGACACTGCCAGCTCTCCCCAGACAGGTGCAGCTCCTGTCCCAAGAGGGACTTAGGGGAGTCAGCAATCTCTGAAATTATAAGTAGCAGTTTGCATATGTTTTCATCTATGTGTTTTTCTGAGGTAAAAGTCTCGCACTGATCTTCAATCTCAACATGATCTGTGATCTCAAATGGCTGAAGCCCCACCTAAGTAACCTCTTCCTCTCAGCTCCGGCTCCTTTATGGTACCATTTTCATGTCAACACCACAAAGACCAAACTCTGGGTACTTTGCAATTTCTTCACAGTATTGAAATAAATTATAGCAGGCAGGTCCAGAGAATGACAGTGTGGGAAAACGTGCTTGGGAGGACTGGAGTTGAATGGGAAAATGCTCCTGAAAGCTCATTTTCTCAACTTCTTTTGTTTATTTATTTTAATACAGTGATGAAATTATAAGGGCTTCCTTTGTTCTAGGAAAACAAACTTTATGTTTGGGGATTTTGTTTAAAATGTTCTATTGAGATAAATTTCTCAAACTCTGGTTCTCTGACAGCTTACTGGGATTGTCACTTTAGGAAGTTTTATTTAGGAGGCTCCCCCTTATTTAGCAATTCTTCTTCCTTGAGAAATTCCATTTCCTCAAGAAGTGAATCTAATGTGACCAAGTAATTTACTCTTAATTAAAAAGTTAGCTTCCCATAGCAATGAAAGTCTAGAATAATGGAAAGATTTGTGGCTGAAGAAATTACCTCTGTTTCAACATTTCTATTTCTATTTCTATTTATTTAGCAACCTATAATAAAATAGAAAATAACCCAAAATGGCATGGTCTTTTCCCCACCCTACATCAGAGGGTGAAATTCTTAAATTCCTATAGAGAACACTCCAGGGGTTGAGTTCTCTAAATCTCTTTCATCTCCTGTCTTACCCCTACAAAATTGGTCAGTGGGATTTTCCTCATCATTCTATCGTATATGATCAGCACACCTGGAAATTAACAACAAAAGCAAAAATAATAAGGAACTATTTGTATATACCAGACACTGTTATAAGTAATTTAAATATATTAACTCACATAATATAATTCCAGGAGCCAAATCATTATAGTTCCCATTTTATAGATGAGAACAAATACCTAGAAATAATAATCACTACATCAGATATTCTTAGCTACTTAATGCAATCATGAGATAAAGAACCTGAATGCGCTGTGTAAACATGAGGTACTATTTAAATGTTATTAGTTACCTTTCTATTTCATTTATGTTTTATAGGGTTTGCTGCTGCAAAGGCAGCCAAGTTGCCCCCTCAAAAACCATCTCAAGCTCTCTGAGCGTGAACATTCACCTTCCTAGTTCATCAGATTCCAAACTTCAGGGCCATATATTGCTGCTTCTTAAAGTTCCCCCTCCATAGTTAATCAGTACTCCCATCCCATTGATTCTACCTACACCAAGGCTCTTGAGGCTCTGCTCCCTTTTGTATTTGCCCCGGAAGTTATTCAGTTCAGGTCCCTGTTATCTCTCACCTTAATTACCTCCAAGGCCTCCCTCACTGGCCTTTCTTTTTTAAAAAGCAAATGAACAAACAAAGAACAGATCTAACCAGGCCCTCTCTCCCCTGAATATCTTCAGTTGCAACCATTGCAATCAGATTGGGCAAGACATTTGTCTGGGTCAAAGCATTTGAGACCTAGTTCTAATTCCACTTATTAGGGATTAATTATTGATTCTTGAACGTGTTATTTCACTGCTTTAAAGCCAAATTTCTTCTAGTATGTAATGAGATTATGTAGCATTTGCCTTGTTTATCTCATAGGCTGTAAATATTAAAACAACAATAATGTATAAAAAAAGCTCTTTGAAACTATAAAATGTATTTCCAATGTGTAGTTTTTACTGAAATTGAAGTCCAGGTTTCTTGACGTAGCATTCAAAACCTCCAAAATCTGACTATGAGCAGTATATCCAAATAATCTCCCAAGTCAGATATGTCCAAATCCTCCATGTCTTCTGGGTCCTCCCTCTGTACTTTGAGACCTTGGAATATACAGCTTCCCCTGCCCAGAATGCCTTTTCATTCCATGGCCTCTTTCAGATACTTACTCATTCTTTAAGACCTAAATAAAATCCAATTTTCTCCAAGACACTGTCTACAATTCCTCAGCAGGAATTAATCTCTCCCTTCCCTGGACTTTCATACCACCTAGTTACCATCTGTGAGCTCTTACTATATATCTGACATTGTGCCAATGCATTTATCTATCTCTGCATATTATCCTTGATGCATATAACTATATAATCCTCTATGCATAATCTTCACAGTGACCCTCATAGATGTCATTATTTCCATTTACAGGGGAAGAAACTTACTATTAGAATGGTCGATACCTTGGTCAAGTTTACATGAAGTTTAAAGAGCAGGGCTGGGTTTGACCAGGTCTGTCTCCCCTTGGAGCCTCAGATCTTGACTCATCCTTTGTGTCTGTGTAACAGTCTTACCACAATCAGCCTCAGAATAGTAAAAAATGCAATTCTCCATCTCTCTCACACAAGTTTGTGAGTCCCTGGAAGGCCACTCTTATTTCCTATTCATTTGTACCACCAAGTGACTAGTATTTTCCTTCCACATAACAGGATGATCAATACATCTGGACTGAAATGAACTTATGAAATCTTTATTGCTCCAACTGTAACTTTCTCTCCTATCCCTGCTAACCCTCTCACTCTCTTCTTTTTTCTTTTCTTGCTATCCAGTACTAAACCCAAGTGAATAATTCTCCCAGTTTAGAAAATGGATAGCAGGCAGAACTACTTGGAATTAGGGTGAAAGTTTTTCCCACCTTAATTCCTGGTGTTTAAAATGAAAATAGTCTATTAGAGTCTCAAATCCTTCACAAAATATAGAAACACTTGATAATTTTTGCCTAAATTTTGAGTAAGGTAACCAACATCTCATTCATTACAAAGAGTTGTTACCATTTTACATTATACCCATAAATCATAAAGAACTTTATATAAAATTTCTTCCAAAACATTAATCATACAAACATAATTTTTCTTATTTTTTCACCCAATAAAGGAGAAGAGTCACATCTTCTAATGAGAAAGAGTTTGAATTCAAAGTTTTTAGAATAAAAATTCAGAAGTTCTATTTTCTTGTGAATAGTAGGAAAAGAGATTTCTCAGCTGACCAAAGTAGCAAAGACACAGCTCACATTAGGAAAAATTATAGCTTAACGAAAAAGAAAATTTTAAAGTCTATGGGTTCTCTCTGGAATGCATTCCGTTGAATCAATGAAGTGCCTCACAAAAACCTTAATAACCAATGGTATTGTACAGAGGAGCAGAACAACCTTTGATGTCTCCTTTGATTTTCAAAGGCAGATTCTGAAGGGAGGAAGAGGTCCAACCAGTCAAAGAAAGCACTCACAAATGTCTAGACTACACCAAGGATCAAATTAACCTTCAATATCCCGTTCCATAGCTATGATAAAATTTGTCTTCCTGAAACATTAGATTGTTATTCCAGCATGTTACTTATAAAGAAAGGATTGTGCACAAGAAAATATTTCCTTTTGTCATATCAGGAAATGTAGAAACAGGGAATATGGGAGGCATGTGGAAATATAATTTCAGTTCTCTAAACCAATTTGAAAATCATTAAAGGGATGGCAGTGGAAGTTTCAATATATTATAATTAGAAGGGACCATAGCCTTAGAGATAAGAAAAATGAAGCCAGAGATATCAAGTGACTTGTGCAAAGTCATACAGTCATTTAATGTCAAAGTGTCGAAAGTCAAGGTGAAGTTAGGTTCTTTATGCTCAGTGCAGTGCTTTTCTCAATACACCATACCATTAGGTTAGTCAGAGAACCCAGACTAACAATGTCCATTCCCTCTACAATCGATAGCTTTAATTGGTTTTGGTGATAATGGCCATACCTATCATTAATAGTCTCAGAGATGTTTCGATTTAACAACAATGTCTGGCATTGAGTGCATTTCATATGTACTTGTCCGTGTGTGAAGCACGTTGTATGTTTTGTCTCATCTAATCCTCACAATAGCCACTGAGGCAGAACTCTTCCCCTTCTTGCAAATGAGGCTTAGAAATGTTCTCCTTCAGGAACCCAGAGCTGGTAAATATAGAGGTAGAACCCAAACCCAAATTCAAGGCCATCCACTAATTTATACCCTATAGAAGTAAAATAAAAGCCACTTTACCCAGCATTTTTCAACGTATCTTTTATTCACTGGCATTTCTGCATGTCTGTAATGTGATAATTATTGGTTTTTATTAAAAAACAGCAAACTCACGCATCTTTGATGTCTCCATAAATGGTTCCTCGCACAAAATCAGTATACAATAAATATCTGTAAAATGAAGAACAAACTGAAGCAGTATGCAGTCCTGAAGGGACTTCTGAAAAATATTTTAAAAGATAAACGTATGTCTTGGCTACTGCAAGGTAAAACAGAACCCCATGTAGAATAAGCGATTCAGAAACCCTATGCGAAAAACTGTTGACCACAGGGAGGGGGGCACACAGCTAAGAAGGCAAACCCTAGACCAGCTCGCTGCACTTTAGTTTAAGACCCACTAGTCAGCTAGCCCCAAGGGTGCAGATCTACAACCCAGGCAGAGAGGAGCTGCAAGCAGAAGATGAGATCGCTCAGGAACAAATGACCTGAAAGACTGACGCTGAAGCTAACGCATAAGGGATGATGAAGAATTCATGATGTGACTAGAAGACAATTTAGAGGGAAGAGCATATACAAAAGCCTAGTCTCTAAAGAAGTCAAGGCATGGGGAAGAAACGGAAGGAAATTCAATATGAAGATCAACAACTGGCATAGTGCTGAGAGGTGAGACTGGAGAGATGAGGAGGGATCAGAAGAAACTGAGCTGTGGAGGCTTGATAAGGAGTCTGATGCCCTTTATTTTGAGGGGAGTGGGGAGCAAAGGAAGAGCTTAGGCAGACAGATTACATGATCAAATCTCAAGCAAGAGAACATTAGCAGCACGTAATATTTATACAGCACCACTCTGAGGACCATGACAGGGGGCATCATCATGATGCAGAGTAAGAGGTATCGAAGCAAGGCCCAAGGGCCAGAGAGTAACAGCAGTGACAGAAGCCAGAATAAGAGGTGGACAACAGTACCTTGGGGGATCACCTGAGATATAATCAGTAGAACTTTTAGAAATATCGAGGAGGCTCCAGAGGTAAGAAGTAGAGATTCCCTTAATTGTGGATAAGCCTAAGTGAGAAAGACATGTTATATGCATATATCAATATGATTTAAGTGCTAAGTATTTTCTCAGTGCATTTTAATCTTTTGCCATTTGGTCATTAATTTGTTAAGTATGAGATTTCTCTATTATCTGAAAACTTAGTTTGCCACAATATGAATCACTCACATAAGTATATACCTTATGTATTTCTATATCATTTTGTAGGTTATATAGGGCTTTTCTGTCCATTTTCTTAATCTTTGAAAGATCCTTGTGAAGTTGACAGGACAGCAAATACTGTCTTTATGTTACAGATGAGGCTCACAGAGGTAATGTGGCCAGGGCCAGTGAAAAATGAACCAGAATTTGAATCTTGTCATGTCCCTTTAGCTACATGATCATAAGTATATAGAATTTAGTGGGATTTTTCTTCTATCTCATCTGTCTAAGCTTGTTGCAAACCAGAAACTTCAAGGATCCCATGCAAACAATATTACTACCACTTGCAGCACGTACTCATGCAGGTATCTAAAGTTAGTACTAAGACGATTAAAAACAGCCAATGCTGCTGTAATTATATTTTCTGAATCCCTAGTTGGGACATAAGGGCCAATACATTATAGCACAATGAAGCTACTGAAACAGAATATTTGACATCGAGGCTGTCTTGGAAAATTGGGAATATACCACCTTGCAATAATAGTAATAATAAAAAATAACATTTCTTGAAAACTTACATTTTGCAGGAGAATTTCCTAAGTGCTTTACTTGTATTAATACATCAATCCTCAATATAACCCTATGATGTGGGTACTACTATTGTCCATATTTTACAGAGGGAAAACTGAGGCACTGAGTTGTCAGTAACTTGCCTGAGATCCCACAGCTAGTAACTATGTAAGTAGAGTCAAATTGAAGCTTAGGCCATGCTGAACCAGAACCCTTGCTCTTAACCATCAATACTCTACTACCTCTCTCCCATTCTTGGCAGCAAAATCTCTGTTTTAACCCTCCTAGGAGGATACTTGAACTTCAAATACTATTTCCAGAAATACAAATACATCAATGATGCCTGTTAGAAGAATGATAACTCAGGATAGCAGAATATCGCTGCTCAATTTGGTAAACCAACCAAAGAATGGCTATAATTTCATTGCTCTGAAGATGACGAACAATCCAGATGCAATATTCAATTTGAAAAACAAATATTGAGAAGCTACTCAGTGCTCAGCCCTGTGGTAGACCTAGAGGTAATGCAAAAGACAAAAATTGCATTTATGAATCTCTGACCTCAAGGAACATCAGGCATGCATGAAAGAAATGCACGAAGCCAATATTTAAATAACAATGGTTAATATGTAGTGAATGCATACTGAGGTGCCAGACACTGTTCTAAACACATGTACTTTTTAAAACCTAACAACATCCTAGGAAGCAGTTGCTATTGTTAACCCCACTTTATAGAAGAAAAACTGAGGCACCAAAAGGTAAATCCCCTTGCCCAGGGTCATGAATCCAGTAATTAGCTGAACTGATACTTGAACCTGTGCAGCCTGGTTCCTGAACCCATATGCTCAACACTAGCTCTATTTCTCTCTATCTATCCCAATTTTGTGCTTACAATAGGGTGAATAATTTAGGTTAGAGGTGGATCTACAATCCAAGGCATCTTAAGTTTAAGGCAGGAGGAAGAGAATGCCTCACCTAAGCCTTAAGCCCAAGTCAATTTTGCCAATAAAGCTTTCAATAGAGGGTCCCGAAGCAGGAATATGTAGTGGTTATCTGATTCCCAGTTTGCTACTGTTTCTCTTATTTACCTTCAGTAGCCAAGAACACTGCTTGGAAAAGGAGCAAGTAGCAAGGCAAGTGTGGGTTCACCTTCCTATCAGTCCTCCTTTGGGTACCTCAAACCCAGAAACATTCCAAACATTCACCAACAGGTGAACAAATAAACACATTGTGAGACATTTCCATGTAAAAGAATACTCAGCAATAAAAAAAGAACTGATGCAACAACATGGATGAACCGCCAAGCAGTGATGCTAAACAAAAGAGGCCAGATGCAAAGAAGTACACACTATATGGTTCCATCTATTTGAAATACTAGAAAAGCAAAATTTCATCTATAGTGGTAGAAAGCAGGTCAGTTTTGGGGTAGTCTGGGGACCAAAAGAGGGTTGGGGGGATTGACTAGGAAGCGGCATAATAGACTTTGTGAAGTGATGGGAATGAGATTCTTTTGGGATTGTAAAAATGTATGTATTATTTTAGTAGTGGTTATATGGCATATAAATTTATCAAAGCTCATAAAAATGTACACTTAAGATGGGTACATTTTTTACATGGGGCTCTGGATTTGATTCTGGACCAGAAAAAAAAGACATTACTAGGAACACTGCAAATTTTGAATAAGATGTGTAGATTAGTTAGTATTATCGTATCAATGTTAATTTCCTAGTTTGTATGATTTTTTTGTAATTTGTCTTTAAATCTAAAATAATTTCAAAATAAAGAGTTAGAAAAATTTTAAAGCATGGTTTTCATACACTGAGTTCACACCAGAGCCAAAGAAGATCTTCTGGAGCCTTAGCTTCCTTGAGACCACAGCTCCTCCTCCCATAGATTCCCTCATAGTTGTGTTCAAAGCCTGTCAGCAGAGTAGGTAACCATAATAAAACACGGCTCAATTAAACGGGTGTAAATAATGTTAATAAAAGAGAAAAGAAGCCCTTTCTTAGCCCAAACAAAACTCATGCAAAGAACAGGTCACATCCCTCCCTCTCCTTCCAATGGGGTTTTATGGCATGAGAATTTGCCTATCATTGTAGATGGGGCCGGAAAGTAGAAAAGAAGTCATTCTCTCCACAATCTTACCAAATACCTTTAAAATTCACTCTTCCTACAAAAAACAAAAGTCACCAGGCAATGAAGGATAGTGACCCCTGAATGATGGAAAATAATTGCCCTAGCTTACTGGCCTAGAGAGAGAGTCTCTAGGCAACAGTGCTGAGGGTAGAGGTGGTACCAAGGTAGAGCCCTGTGGTCTCCCAGATGGACTTGGAGCTGGGAGTCCCAGGAGGCTACAGTGGCAGTGGCAGTGGCTAGAGATCAAAGGGCACAGCGAGGAGAAAGTTGTGTGGAGAAAGAGCTCTGTAGATCTGTAGCTAGACCTCTGATTATTTTTACCTTAGACCAAACTCTACAATGTTAAAAACAGCCTGTGGATTTATTTTAAGCCTTCACGTTTAGAATATCTAGCATGTGTTTTATTTTATTTTTTTATTTTGAATTTCACTCACAGATCCTTGGGGGAAAGCCACGCGTAAGATTTTAGAGTACAAATAAGAACCACATTGACCCTAGCACAGAGTATTCAAAACATGTATACCAACATTATCCATAGCAGGATTTTAAAGTTCAATTAATGTGTCTATCAATATCATGGAAATCATGTGTATATCATATTCATGGTATGTGAAAATGAAATACATATTCCTTTTGGTTATACAAATGTTGAAACCTTCTCCTAATTTTTCTGTAGACCTGGGCATCTATATTCAAGACACGCAAAGAAAGTTTAAGTTGGAAAGTTGCTGAGGAAACTAGAAATTCTGGTCTGTCCTATTATTTAATATGTATGCATCCTTGCTGGTAATTTAATATTCTTAATCAATTCAACCAAAGCATAAGATATTTACAATGCAAAAATCAGAAATCAATAAAAAATACTATGGTTGAAGTTGATCCACATCTATGATGCATCCTGAAATGAGGAAGTCTGTCTGCAGAATCCCAGTCATTCACTCTGGTCTTCAGGTGGCCTGGGTATGGGAGTGAGCAGTGGTTATATGCCACATAGACAATTATGAACAAAACAGAAATCAAATTAATTCCCAAACTACTTTTCTGTCCTTATCACAAAGTAGATTTTTTTTTCTTTTTCATTCAGATATTGTCCTGGGTTCTTGTATGTATTAGGGTTCTCTAGAGGGACAGAACTAATAGAATATATGTATATATGAAAGGGAGTTTATTAAGGAGAATTAACTCACATGATCACAAGGTAAAGTCCCACGATAGACTGTCTGCAAGCTGAGAAGCAAGGAAGCCAGTGGTGCATCAGTCTGAGTCCCAAAAGCTCAAAAGGAGGGAAGCCAACAGTGCAGCCTTCAGTCTGTGGCCAAAGGCCTGAGAGCCCCTGGCAAACCACTGGTGTAAGTCCAAGAGTCCAAAAGCTGAAGAACTTGGAGGCTGATGTCCGAGGTCAGGAAGCATCCAGCACAGAAGAAAGATGAAGACTGGAAGACTCAGCAAGTCTAGTCCTTCCACGTTCTTCTGCCTGCTTTTATTCTAGCCCCACTGGCAGCTGATTAGCTTGTGCCCACTCAGATTGAAGGTGGGTCTGCCTGTCCCAGTTCAATGACTCAAATGTAATTTCCTTTGGCAACACCCTCACAGACACAACCAGGAACAATAGTTTGCATCCTTCAATCCAATCAAGTTGACACTCAATATTAACATTGTATTACACAGACTACAATTCATAGTAGTGATTATATATTGATGGTCCCATATGATCTTCACTCTATCTAGATAGGAGCTATTATCATGGTTTTCATTTTCTGAAATGGAAATGGAGGCAGTCACACAGCAAGCCACAGACACACAGCCCCAGCTGATTCCCACAAGCACAAGCCTTTATCCACCGCACTGATCCACCTCTTCCTAACCCCTGAACAAAAACTACAAACTGGTCCATGCTACTCATGGACTGGGCTTCCTGATGACAGCTGTTTTGATTCTTAAAATGCTTTAATCAGGACCCCTTTGGGCCAACCGTTTAGTTTTGGTTGTGTGACTGTGCATGTTTCTGAACCTTTTGGGCCTCTGTTTCCAGAGTGACCTCTCAATCTAAGCTCTCAAATAAAAAGGTGGCCACATTACTACAGGGGCAGCTTGATGTGGTGAATTCATCACAATTGAGGGAGGGAGACAGGCTAGTGTTGGCATCCTAGCAGTTAAGTATGAGCTGGGAGACTGGGCTTACCCAGGTCTCAGGTGACACAGCTGTAAAATGCTCAGCCTGATTTATCCCTTAAAGACTGTTAAAAGGAATTAAATGAGACAATGTGTGGCTCAACACAATGCCCAATCATTTAAAGGCACCCAAAGTAGCCATTATTAGAACAGTTACCATGGCTCTACTAAACTTACTAAATCTATAGTCTGTGCCTTCTGGGGCCACACATAAATAGAGAATCGCCTTCTACAGCCTGGGAGTGAAGAAATCCCACTCGGGTAAGTACAGAAATGAGACAATCCCTCTTATGTCTGTCAATCTCCTCTTTCCTGGGCAGAAAAAGAAAATGTAACACAGAAATGTCCTAAAAGATAAAACTTAATTTGGCTTTCAACAATCTTTGTGTTAATTCAGCTTGCATGCTGAGGTCAGACCACCACAGCACGGTGGGGTGAAGGAGCCCAGCTAAGATGACAAATAGGGATAGAAATGCAACCCACGTGCTCCCACTGGAGGCTGCATCTGTCTTGGAGAGGGGAAGACTTCCTGATAATGCACAAGGGTGCCCTGCCTACCAACTCATGGGTCCACCAAGCCTCATGCTCACACCTCATTCTAACTCACACACCAGTGGCCCTGAATATTATTAGGTAACACTTAAAGAATATACAGTTTCATATTGTTAAGGAGCCTCACAGAGGCTTGTTAGCCTAACATTTCCATTTTGTTTACAGCCAGTTTCCTTTTCTCACTGATGTACCATCACATTGGTGCTGTATCAATCACCAAATCACATGTAAATTGAAGTTCAAATCGAGAAAGTGTTGGGTTTGTTTAATTATGTAGGGACAGTGCCTTTCTTGTTTGTGTTTACTGTCCCAACACATTGCTTTGCACAGTATGTATTTAATTCAGCAAATCGAATTTATGAAAGAAAAATTCCAATCATAGCTTGTTTTCTAAAAATCTGACTAATATCATGGTCATATTTGTTTTTTTAAAGATATATTTTTGGCCTAAACCTGAACTTATGCCCCAATCAAATTCCTCTGTAAAATTTTCTCTGTAACATTTCAGACTCTAGAGACTAAATTGCCTTCCACCAACAAGTTGATACAATGCAAAGAGTAAACCAATAAAGACTAACACAAAATTAAAAAAAAGAAAAAACATGACTCTCTTTATCTTGCTCTTAACATGTTTCTGAGATCCATGACTTTTCTACTGTGTATAAAAAGTTTAACCAAAAGCAAGTGTGTTTCCAGTGGAAAATGAACACTAACTGGTTTCAGCACATTAATTCTGAAAACAGGAGAATAGTATTTTCTTATGCACACTTTATGGCTGACAGACAAATTTTTTCATCAGATTGAAATCAGCCAATATAACATTTTTTACATTTTCATTTTATTAAAATAACAAGAAGAAAATGAAGAGATGGAACAAGAATCTAATAACTTCTGACACTTCTCAGAATAAACTAGTATGTGCAACCAAATAAGTTTCAAAGATTTTAATTAGTGGTCTGAAAAACCACTTGGTTACATACTGTGGAGGTTCATATTTTAAGAGCTGAATTCAAACATTGCTCACACCATTAACTTAAAGGATTTTGTCATTAATTTTTAATTATACCAAATCTAACTACACAGGACATAGAGTGACCCATAACATTAATCTTATTTAAAAAGACAAAGCAAAATAAAATCATAAAAGTTGCATATAGATCATGATTTTTAACTTTTTGAATCACCTTTCTTGGATAACATTTACATGAAATAACATGGACACATTTCAGGTCTACACTTAGGTAGACGTTGACAGATGTGTACATATTCATCTCCTTCAGAAGGTACCCTGTATCCCCCAGCAGTCATTCCCGACCTCCCCCTGTGTGAGAACCATTCATCTGCTTTTTGTCAGTATAGATTAGTTTGATTCTTCTAGATATTTGTACAGCACATACTTTATTGGGTCTGGCTTCTTTTACTCAGTATTATGTTTTTAGGACCAATCCATCTTGTTGTGTGTATCAGTCATTTGCAATCTTTTATTGCTGAGTAGCATTCTGGTGTTTGTCTGTGCCACAGTTTGTCTATACTTCACCTGTTGATGGACTTTTGGATTGTTTCCACTTTAGCTATTATGAGTAAGTCTTCTACAAACATTCACATACAACCCTTACTGTGGACACACTTTTTCATTTCTCCCGGGTAAATACCAAGGGAGTGGGGTTGCTAGGACTTACGTTAAATATAAGTTTCCCTGTGTTAAAGACTACCAATTCTTTTTCAAATAATTTTACTATTTTACACTTTACCAGAAATATATGCAATCCAGGTGCCTCACACCCTCACCATTGCTATTGTCCTAATTTTGACCATCCTAGTGGGCGAACTGTGCTCTAGTGAGGTTTTATTTTGTATTTCCTTGGTGACTCATCATGTTGAGCATCTTTTATGTGCTTATTGGCCACTGCCACAAATAGATCTAGTTTTATGAAATGCCTGTTCAAATTGCATGTCCATTCTTTTCAGTTTGGTTGTTTGGCTTCTTATTATTGTGCTGTAAACTTTATATAATTAGAACAAAGTCTTATGTCAGACACATGCACTGTAGATATTTTCTTCCAGTTTAAGGTTTGCCTTTTCATTTTTATTTCTTGAAGCTTTATACTTTAGTGAAGGACGGTTTATCAGATTTTCCTCTTATGGTTAGTTCTTTGTCCTGTCTAAGAAATCTTTGACTGTTCCAAGGTTTTTTATTTCTTCTGAAAGGTTTATAGATTTTGCTTTTGTGTTTTTGTCTGTACACCATTTAGGATTAATATCTGAATAGGGTGTAAGGGAAGGACTGAGGTTCTTTTATTCCTCTTATTAGGATATTCAATTTTCACAATACTATTTATTGACAAACCTATTTTGTTCTCCATGAGATTCTCTTGATATATCGATTGACAAATCAGGTGTGGGTGCTTCTGGACTTTATTTGGCTGCACTGCTCTGTGTGTCTGTTATAGGCCAAAACCACACTCCTCTGGTTACCATATCTTCATAGTAAGTTTTAAAATCACAAGTTGTAAGTTCTCCAACCTTTTCTTCTCATCAAAATGTTTTTGCTATTCGAGGTTCTTTGAATTCCCAAAACTTACCATTTTAAAATTTAAAAAGAAATTTTTTGTAAATAAAAATCCCCTGCTGGAATTTTTATTAGAATGTTGTTGAATCTTTAGATCAAGTTGAAGAGAATCAACATCTTAACCATATTGAAATTTTTGAATTATGAACACAACAAGGAAGCCTTTCCATTTATTTTGTCTTTATTGATTTTTCTCAGCAGAGTTCTGTAATTTTCAGCATACAGGTCTGGTATGTATTTTGATAAAATTGTGTGTAAATATTTTATGGTTTTGCCTATCAAAAAATATTATTTTAATTTCATTTGCAGTTGCTCATTCCTAGTACATGGAAATATCATTGGTCTTAGCATACTAACTTTCTATCCTATTACCTTCCTAAACCTATTTACCAGTTGTAGTAGGCTTTTTTTTTTTGAAAGAGAGAGAGTCTTTTAGAATATCTAGGTTCATGGTCATGTTGTCTGTGAGTAACTCTAGTTTTACTTCTTCCTTTCCAACTTGTATGCATTTTTTTCTTGCCTTATTATACTTTCTAGGACCTCTAGTACAATGTTGAATATAAATGGTGAGAGCAATGATTTATATCATTTGTCTAATTTTGTTCAGGCTTTCCCCACTAAGTAAGATATTAGTTGTAGATTTTTTCTAGTTGCCTTTTATTAGATTAAGGAAGTTCCCTTTAATTTCTAGTTTGCTGAGAGTTTTTTAAAATCATAAATGGATATAGCATTTTGCTAAATGTTTTTCTACATCTACTGAGATGATCATAGGTGTGTTTTCTTTATTTTTTACCTTATTATATTTATATGGTTAATTTCATTAATAGATAAAACAACTATTTATGGTGCATGTGTATGTGTGTATAATTTAGTGGTGTATTATCTTTATATATATATATATGGCCAGATTCAATTGTCTAATACTTTGTTATGCATGATGACTATAATCTTGAGTATGTCCTACTTTAAGCTGTGTTCACATTGTCCAATTCGTCATCCACACTCAACTGAAACTGCATGTTCCAGTCACTGACAACCTCCAAATAGCTAAGTGCAATTACCTTACTTATTTTTAGTCTTTGATTTCATTAACTTTGCTGTAATAATTTATGCTGTTGGTCATCTTCTCCTTCCTGAAAATTCCGTTCTTTGCTTTGCAGACCTTGTACTGTACCTCTTATTGATCCCTGTAATTCTCTCTGATTCTCCTATGAGTTCTCCTCTTTCCTCCTGCTTTTTTAGCACTTGGCATAAGATCTATCTTGCTGTGTCTTTTACCCTTACATGAACATGTCCCTCCTCCCTGGATTCTACTTCAAGTCTCTCTTTACGTAGTATTTAGAAATACTATTGAATCAATAGTATGGACCAATAGTATTTCCATATATTAGCCATGAGCAACTGCAAAATGAAATTAAAACAATATATTTATAATAAGCAAAATATAAAATATTTACAGACAATTTTATCAAAATACATACCAGACCTGCATACTGAAAATTACAAAACGCTGCTGAGAAAAACATGGTGTCCTGTCACAACAGATGTCCAGAAAGGATTTGTGCATGACAACAAGAATGGATTCTGAAGACTTCTCTAATATTTCTGGGGGATTTGGTCTCTACGCATGACTTATATTATCTCTGCTCTGAGGACATTTATAAATAAACTCTTCATTATTATGTTTTTAAAAGAAACTTCATAGGAAAACCAAGAAGATACCTTTCCTCTGTAGCCGTTCCAGTCTCTGACTTGGTTGACCCCCACAAAAAGCAGTCAGACTTCTGCATGGACATTCTTGCACAAACATGTGATACGAACCGTTATGTTATCAAATTCAAATCAACATCTCAGTCTTCCCAGCATATGAACAGATCTTCAGTATCATGAACATCTGATTTTGGTTTAATATGGATCCTGAGAGCCCAGCTCCTATCTGCAAAGTCAAGATATGGGGAGAGAGAGGGTTAACATGTCATGGCTGGAACCAACCCTACACTCTATAGCTGTGAACAATTAGGCCTGTCAATGTTCCCTTTGCAGAAACTCCTGCTACTTTATCGGGACTAATAAGCAACAGAATTTTGACTTTTTGATAGGTGGGGTTATAAATCTACCATCAAGGCTGAGAGAGGACAAGATGAGTTTATATGTACAAGTAGAATCTTTAACTCTGGACCCTACAAGATACTCAAGCTAGGAATGCCCTATTTGTTCCAAGACAGGAGTGGCATGAGATGGAGGAACTAGATCTGGAACAAGAAATTATTTTCTTTTAACAAATTTCACAGTAGAGTATGTAACAGCTGCACAGAGCAAGACCCCTGAATTTCTCTGATAGGTCAACCATATAATATTTGCTCATGTGAAATTCTTCCTTTCACATGTCTCAACAATATTTTATTGCTTTCACTGTATTTTGTAAGTTGCTTTTTACACATTTTTAAATATGAAAATTGATACTTGAACTCTTGGAAGAGAACACAGAAAAGATTAAGAAAACTTGAATTTTGGTGTATCTTATTACTAATAAAATTCTATGTGTGAGAAAAAAGTTTTCTTAAACCATAAAATATTTTCAATGAATATCCTTGAGTGCCATTTTATTTGTAAATTCTCCATGTTTAATTGAATAAATAGATAAGTAAAGCTTCTCACTGCACATTAGTTTAACAAAATGCATAGAATTATGACCAAAGTTTTGTTTGCAAAATTAATTCCTTTCTAAAAGCCATTAAGTCTCCAGTCGTTTTAATCCATCTTTGATATGAGTGACCGAGAAAAAAGTTTTAAACTGTTTCAGTATTCATCCAGAAGTATTTACTGTTTCCTCATTGTTGGTCAATATCCCTGTTCTTAAAGTGTTCTGTTTGGAGAGATTTTCTTGAATATCTTGGTCTTTTCTGATGTCCCTTTATAGAAATTTACTCTGCCACATCTCTGCTCCACTATTATCACCCATCATGATTCCAGAAAGATCTTTCTAGACCATGAATCATTCCTGTTACTTCCTCACTTAACAGCTCCACATTTTCCCGTAAAATTAAGAATAAAATTCAAATGCCTTCCTATGACATACACAGTACTTCGTGATTTGGTTCTAACATCATTTCTGTCCCTCTACATTTATAGAGATAGTGATCTCTGTGAGAGCAGGAACTTCGTCTACAATATTTTTTATATCTGTGTCTCAACATCACCACTAGCACTTAATATTTCTGGATGGATGGATAAATGAATGAATAAATGACATTGTGTCTTTCAGGGCCTCCTTATTTGATGGTGTGCTCATTAGAAAGAGTTAATATGATGTTTGCAAAGATGAGTATTCACTTCTGGATGGGAACCTGGGTACTATGGTAGATTTGCATATCTATTGTCAATTACATTCTGTATACATAATAATTCCACAAAAAGTGAATTGTTGAACAAAATAGAATGTTGCCTATGTCCTCTACATATTCTTTTCCTATGTGTTCTAGGAAAAAAAAATCAATCTATTAAGACCATTTGTGTATGGCAGTTAAAGAAAATGTAAAATGAATTAAATAACTCAGTTTATGGTGCCCAGATAATGCCACCAGCTTTCAGAGGAAGATGCATCTGGTGGCCAGGAAGAGTTTCATGGAGAGACTGAAAGCTGCTCTGGCATCTGCAAGAAGGGAATAGGTTAGGTGTGAGGCGAGTGTGCATCTCCCAAAGGGCAAGAGCTTGAGCAGCCAGGAACACTAAAAGCAGAGACAAGAGCAAAAGTAACACAATCCCAACCATTATTCCCTTTATGTTGAGACATTAGTATAATAGGATTACATATTCCTTCTGCCCAACAATTCCACTTTAATTTTATTGCCATTCTAAACTCATTAAAAATATACTCTGGCTCCTCTCTGAGCCACAATGCTAATGAGGTAGCACGATTAGCATCAGAGCTCAGTCTGAAGTAATTACTTCTAGCCACATTTTGGCTTCTTCACTGAATATGGAAAAGCGAAGAAGTGATTCTGGAAGTACTTTAACAGGTTTTAAAACAGATGCTTTCATTTGGATCACTGACTCTAGGAATCGTCAACCACTTGGGAACAGTCATCCATAAAAATAATTATTTCTCTTCAAAATGAATGACTAGAATCAGTTTCCTAGTTGCCAGAATTTTATCATTAACACTATTTGATGACACTCTCTCTTACGGTGTTTTTGGTAAACTTCAGTTCCTGTGCTGTGGTTTCTCATTCTACAAAGCTGGTCTCTTTCTTTCCTTCTCTCTTTCTTCCTCTTTTTTTAAGTTGATGGTTTGTTGTTGTTGTTGTTGTTGCTCTTATTGATTTGTGACAAAAAAGAAAAGAATAAGGAAAATGAATCCTAAAGGATACGGTTAATTTATGATTTGTAATGAGGGGAAGGAGCAATGATAAGAGAAAAAAGTGAACGTGCTTATTTGTGGAAAGCATGTAATTGGGAGTAGTGGCACACGAAGGTTATTCTATTCCTATTCCCGTATTCTTAAGAACATAAAACAGTTACACCTTGGGCCATCTTGAGTCTCATGAGGCAGACATGCTGGGGCATTAGGGGAAAAAATTACTGGGCAGAAGGCTAAATGTCCCAAAGTAAATACAATGTGGATGCCTGGAATTATGCTGCGGATATCTTGGTTTTAGAACCACGCTACATATGTGCAACACCCCAACTCTAAAGGCCCCTCTGCCATGATGGGCATGAAGATTCTCCTTGCTTGGCTCTGTTTCTGCTCCAGCCATCCTCATTTTCATTACGAGGTTCATGGGAGACACATATGCTACTTGGCCCACAGATATTCTGTCTCCTAGAATGGGCTTGCTTAGCTGCTATTATGTAATTCCTCAGCATCTCACCATTTGCCCACCTCCACATCTCACCCTCCTCTGCTCTCCAGCTGGAGCATCCTTGTGTCACAAGGCCATGTATCAGAGCTCTGCTACTCCTCCCCGCACTGCCTTTACTCCTGTTTGAAAATCATTTCCCCACCAGGTGTGGTGGCTCACACCTGTAATCTCAGCACTTTGGGAGGCTGAGGCGGGCAGATCACGAGGTCAGGCAATCGAGACCATACTGGCTAACACAAAACCTCTTCTCTACTAAAAATACAAAAAAAAAGAAAAAAAGAAAAAAAATCCTTTTCCTATCACAAATTTCCAACAGCTCACTAGCCTGGCCCTAGTGGGCCCCTTGCCCACTTACATTAGGCCAAGCACTTGTTTTTTGTGCCTGAGGGGAGAGGAAATGGAAGACTGCACTGCAACTGGGAAAGTCCACAGACTCTTATGTTATCCTTGGATTGGTCTCTGCGTCTTGTGGTCTTCCTCTCTTTTCTTGCTGGTCTTGCTCTTCAACTGAACTTGAGATGTTCTCTCCCCAGTTCTCTCTACAAATCCTCCTCCAAGTCTCCTCTGCACTGAGAAGCCTTCCTTTCCTGCAGCCCGCTCTCTCCCCGCTCCTTCTTCTTCTCCTGCAGTACTTCACTGGGAAGTAGCGATTTGATATTCCCTTTTCCTCTATGAAACTGTAAACACTGGAGGATAGCAATCATGTTGTATTGTATTTTTTTTCTATTTTCTATTTTCTATTTCTACAGTACTTGCATCCATGATGATAAGTGTACTTCTTTACAACAGATATAAAATGAGCCTCAGTTAGACACTAGGCACTACAAGACATACATTCATTCAACAACTATGTTTGGGCCCGGGTGCAGTGGCTCACGCCTGTAATCCCAGCACTTTGGGAGGCTGAGGCAGGCAGATCACGAGGTCAGGAGATCGAGACCATCCTGGCTAACATGGTGAAACCCCATCTCTCCTAAAAATACAAAAAATTAGCCGGGCATGGTGATGGGCGCCTGTAGTCCCAGCTACTCGGGAGTCTGAGGCAGGAGAATGGCATGAACCCAGGCGATGGAGCTTGCAGTGAACCGAGATCGCGCCACTGCACTCCAGCCTCGGCTACAGAGCGAGACTCCATCTCAAAAAACAAAACAAAATAAAACAAACTATGTTTTAAGATTCTATCATGCGTCAGGCAGTGTGCTCAACACCGCGGTGACCCTGGCATCCTGCAGTTTCCAGTCCAGTGAGGAAGACATCACACAAATACATAATTTGCAAACTGTGATGAAATTGCCACGGAGAATACAGAATACCATGAGTTTATAACTGGGTGATTGTACCTAGTTTGAGGAAACATGGTTTTGCTTTGGCACAGTGAATTCAGTAAACGAGTGAGTCAAGGAACAAATCCTTATGCAAGACATAATGCTTGTGCAAGGATATGCCCAACAGACTTAATATACTTTATTTACTAATTAAATCCATATGAAAGACAAAGAGAGGAACTACTAATCATAATCAACGAAAACCATAAAGTAAATAATTTGATTGGAAGTAACTTTAGAGATCATCTAAAGCAGTGCCCTTAAAATGTCAGAGACTCCCTTGAACTTCGATAAACAAATGTTGCAGACAATTGCAATGAGACCCCCTAAAGCCCATGGATGCCTTGTTAAGGACTGCTGCTCTAAAAGCACTTTTTCCCACAATCCTTGTAGGTATATGGCATAACGTATAGTCAGAGCATGTTAGAATTTTCCAATCAGAGCTATAGCATACCCAGAATAGAAAGTCCTCTGAAAATCTTTGATTTGTTCAATAAGTTCCAAAAAAAAAAGATCCTTGAAAAAAAATCCACAATAGTTGAAACCTAAATTCAGAATATATTCTCCTAAGCCTTGCTTTTTGGGAGATGTAATAAAGGAGAAGTAATCTATAAAAAGACACATCCACAATCTTTAGAACCTTTGCGAATCAAATCAGTATCCTAAATAGGAACAACGTCAAAACAAAATGTTACCTTAGTTTTCTTCTGAATAAAGTGAGCTAGTTTGTGTCTCTAATAAAGAGGGGAATAAAATAAAGTGCTGTTTCTGACAAGTGCACATCCTTCCAGATCAGTTCTAGAAGCAGGAAAAAAAATAGCGAGGAATGCTATTGAACAGGTGTAGATCAGCAAAATGAGAAAAAAAATAAATCGTTTTTGTTTCTTTTTGCACAATATAACAATATCAATTTCTATTCCATCTATAAAGAGAAAGTACATGTATGATTTTTCAAATTTACAGAAAAGTTTCAGCGTTTAGAGATGACATTTTGTAGAGCTGTTTTAAAAACATATGACTATGTTCTATGGAGCTAAAATGTCTGGACTCAAATAAATGAGTCTGAATCCTTTCCTAACTAAGAAACTTTAGATCTACACGTTTAACCTTCATAGCCTGTTTTATGTTCTATAAAATGGGAGAGATAATAATAACAACAATAGTAAGAATAATCTCATAGGGCTGTGTAAACATTAAGTAAGGTAATCCATGTAAAACATTTGGAACAATACTTGGCATGAAAACAATGCAAGAAAGACAGTAGAAAGGAAAAAAAGAACAAGAAAAATAAATCTTCAAATTAAAAAGGGTTGAGTGAAAACAGAACTTAAAAATACAATTTACGAGAAATAAAAGCCCTGAAGAGTTGTGAGGATTTTACAGATGTCAAAAAGGAAGAGGCAAAATATGAAAAAGAAATCAGAGAAACTCCTCACCCGTACCGGCTTGACTGAGCCTGTTTACCTGTTCTGGGGACTTCTTTCAGAATTCAACCCCCAGATGGCAATAGAAACCATGGTGATTGGATGATACTCTTCTGGCTCTATTTCTGCTTTACAAACTTTGCTTTAAAATTTACAAATGCCTTTCGTGTCCATTTTCCAAAAAATTTAATAACTTAACTCAATGTTTATTGACACTGACCTGTAAGATACGTTTCCTGGGGTTGCTCTGAATCTGACATAACATCTGCAAAACATAGTAAAAAGCATAAAATGCTATCCAAATACCTCACCATCATGTGAAAATATATGTGAGGAAAATTATGCACAGAAAGATAGGCACTCAGCATGAGGCAAGTTGTCTTGAACAAGTATGACACGGTTAATTTGCTAAGAGAAGGACCACCACCAAGTTATGATCAGCTCCAAAAAGGTTGTTTTAACAACTTTGCACCAAACAGAACAGGCCCCTCACTGGCATAGTGTGCACAAACATACTTTCTCCTTCCTCAGACAATCAGAGTTTAGAGTCGTGTTCTGTTCCCATCGATTCTACAGAACAACATTCTTTAATCAGTTGCTGCCACAATCTGACTGGCTTCCAAGCTGAGCTACTCCAAATGCAGTCTGCACCACCTTGCCAGGGTCTTCAGACAATCTTCAGGCCTGTTAGGACACAGCGGATCCCTTGCAAGTCATTTGGCTCCTAGCACTTCCTGTGCATGCCAATTTAGTCTGCAGGTTGCTCTTTCTCTGCAGCCATTAGAACCCCATTTCCATTCCAGGAACCACGTGACTGAGAAACAAAATGATGCTGATGCCCAATGTTTGTCATCAACCTGGCCCTCAAATGTCCTTGGCAAAACCTACCTGAACTCTTAAGAGGCCATTTTCAGAGCAAGAAATATAAAAATTAAATATTTTACAAGGTAAGAAGGGAAAGTATTTACATAGCCAGTAGTTTTACATGATCATTTGGAGGGAGGAAATAAAGGAGCGTTCGAGGTAAACAGATTTCTGTTTTTTTCTGTTCAAAATGTTGTTTCTCTATTCCTGTAAACCTATGGAAATGATCTGCGTTGTCCTGCAAGTTCTCATGCCAAAAATTTAAATGCACTGGAGTAGGATGTTGGAGATTGTTTTTTAACTCAAGCTATAAACTGCACATGACAGTATATTTATAACACAGCTATAATGAGGGAGGCTAATGGAGTAGTTGGAGCATACAAGGGAAATATGCAGAAATTTGGGGTCCGGAGGCAGGGCATGAAAACAACATGTTGAATTTCTGCATGCCCTTAGCAAAATGCTCCTGAAGCCAATTTACAAAGCGGTCCTGTATCTCCCAGCTCCTCTCAGATACTCTTTCCATGAGGCTCCCCTACTCTCAAATATATTACAGCCATCCCTGAAAAACAAACAAACAAATGAACAAACACTGCATGGAAGAGAATCCTAAAATTAAATGCCATTGAATGATCATTCATTTTACAACCGAAAAACACTAAAAATATCATGTGTTTGAAAGCTACTTTTTATGTAAAAATGTCCAAACAGGTTAACCCCCTGCAAACAAATTTTAGTTCATAATATGCGCTCAGTCATAACAGCAATGATTTTCTTCCCCATCTTATTTCCTTCTGTTTACTAATAGGCCCTGTCTGAGTGCCCCTACCCTATAGGAATAAGAATAGAGAGCTCAAGTCAGGAGACATTCCTGATTCAAATGCCTGGTGGAAAAGAGGGCCCCTAGACCAAATTACTTAATCTAAAGCCCTCGTACCCAGGCCACACACAAAGACTTACCACGTGTATTGTTTCCTTAAAATGACTTGTCTGAGGTCAGCATTTCAAGCACCACACTGTTTCTCCTTCCCAATAGCTATTTCTACCACTTATAAAAGGAAGGCAAATCTTTCCTTCTCCCAGGATATCACAAAGGTCCACTGTCCCATAGGGTAAAAACCTCCTGAGGCACCAAATAGATGTATGTATAATCCAAAAATTGGTGTTCTGGTTACAAAGAAAAATGTCTGGAAAGAGTAAGGAAAAAACTTTGATTAGTGAGGTGGTCTCTAAATCTTTGCTTTCATTAAAATTGAACAAGGTCATTTAGTGAAGAATCATTAAAAATAAAACACGAAGAGATGGTAAACAATTTTTTTTGGCATGTGTATCAAATTGAGTGATTTTGTTATACATTAAGGGAAGAAAAGCTTATTTCATTTCCATCTGCTAATTTATGTAAAAACATTTCTCTGTGCAGTGTTACAATGGAAAATAGAGATTGCACTGACGCTGAGCTCATTCTAGCAATAACTGATGTTCATGAGACATTTCCAATAAAATTTTACCTTCTTTGTATGGCAAGTATCAACATGAAAATAACAGCAACATATATTGAGGCTTACTATGGGCCCTAACTGTTGTACCTATTTTAACTAATTGAACTCTGTTAACATCCCTATGAACTAGATATTATTTTTACCTCATGTTGCAGTTGAGGCAATAGCTGCCCAGGGCGGTTAAGAAAATTGCCCAAAATTACACAGTAAGGCAGAGCTGAGTTTTGAGTTTAGGCAGTCTGATTTCAGAATCCGTGTTCTTAACCATAACCCTGTGTTGTCTCAATGCATGTATAATAAATATATTTAGTTTGCATTCAGAACCAAATCCAGAAACTTTTTTTGTATTTCAAGCCTTATGATCATAGTTAATTTGAAATTTGAAAATGGATATATAAATTTTTATTGCAGAAAAATATGATAGTCAATGAAAGCTATTCGATTAAAAAAAGTATTACATTAGAGTAAAGAGTATAATGGAAGTGAAATGAAAATATAAGTTCAAGGACAAAAAAGACATAAAATTTTAATTGTAAAAGTAACAGTCTTACATGTTTCTCTTTTTAAAAGGATTTTATTGTGAATACCTATAAATCCATCACACACTTTATTAACATTTTATTGTACTTGATTATCACAAATATTTCCATCTGTCCATCCATACATCCTTACAATTTATTTTTTAGAAATGGGGGTCTCGCTCTGTGGCCCAGGCTGGAGTGCAGTGGCACCATCATAGCTCTGAGCAGCCTTGAACTCCTGGACTCAAGCCATCTTCCCACCTCAACCTTCAGCGTAGCTGGTATTAGAGGTGGAGCTACTGCACCTGGCTTCCCAATTTATTTTTAAAGCTTTACTAGGTTACAATTTACATACCACAAATTTTTCCCACTTTAATATGTGAATGCAAAATTTGAGGTTTTTTAGTAAATTTATCACAATTTCACAACCATCTTCACAATCCAGATTTAGGACACTTCCATCACCTCCAAAAGTTTCCCTGTGCAGTCTACAGCCAGCCTCAATCCCATCCCTAACCCTGGATAACCACTCACCTGCTTTCTGTTTCTCTACTTTTGCCTTTTCTTTTCATATGATTAGATTTCATATAAACGGAGTCATCTATTATGTGTCTTTTGTGGCTGTTTTTTTTCACTTAGCACACTGTTTTTGAGTTTTATCTGTGTTGTTGCATATATCAGTAGTTCATTCCTTTCTATTGCTGAGTAGTTCCCTTGTGGTGTAGATATGCCAAATCTTCTGTATCCATTCACCAGTTGATGGATATTGATTTGTTTCCAGTTTATGACTGTGAAAAATGAATAATGCAGCTATGAACATTTATGCACAAGACCTTTTGTGGGCCTATGTTTCCATTTCTTTTCGGTACATATTTGGGAGTGGAATTGCTGGGTTGAATGAGAAATGTTTAACTTTTAAGAAACCACCTGCCTATTGGCTTTATCATTCCACTGTACATTCCACCAGCAATGTCAGAGAATTTCTGCACTTCTTCACCCAAATTTGGCATTGACAGCCTTTTAAATTTTAGCCATTCTAGTGGTATGTAGTTGTATCACATTGTGGTTTTAATTTGCTTTTCAGTAGTGACTAGTTATGTTAAGCATCTTTTCATGTGCTTACTAGTAAATTATATACTTTGTTTGGTCTATTATAATCTTTGTCCCATTTCTTAAAGAATTTTTTGTCCTCTTCTCATAAAGTTATATGAATTATTTGTGTATTCTGAAATTCTTTATTAAATATATAATTTGTAAATATTTCTCCCAGTCTTTAAATTGGCCTTCATTTTCTAGTGGTGTCCTTTGAAGAGCAAAAGTTTTTAATTGTAATAAAGTACAGTTTATCAATTTTTTCTTTTATGGATGCTTTTGATATCATACCTAAGAAATCTTTGCCTACTCAAGGTCATCAAGATTATGTTCCTTGTATTAGATTTATACTTTTAGATCTATTTTGTGCTATAATCAATTTTGTGTTAATTTTGGCTGTGGGGAAAGAAGGGTCTAAGATCTCTATTTTGAGGGAAAGGCAGTGTATACATGTGGTTAGCCAACTGTTTCAGCAGAATTGGTTGGAAAGGCTCTCCTTTCCCAATTGAAATCTCTTTACATGTTTAGCAAATCAATTCAACATCAAACTTTTTTTCCTGGTGTGTCCATTCTGTTCTATTGCTCTATAGGTCTGTTTTTATGCTAATACCACAGTTTTGAATATTGCAGCATTATATAGTGAGTTTTAAAATCAGGTGGTATAAGCCCTCAAAACTTCTCTTGTTTCTCAAAAGTAATTTGACAATTTTAGATCCTGCTCATTTCCAGAAAAATGTTAGGATCAGATTATCAGTTCCTAGAAAAAAGCATGCTGGGATTTTGATAGGAATTATATGGAATCTATAGATCATTTTGAGAAGAACTGCCATCTTCACAATATTGAATTCATCAATCTACAAAAATGATATCTCTCTCTATTATTTATATATTCCTTAATTTCTCTCAGCAATAGTTTATAGTTTTTGGTATACAAGTCTTGCACTTCTTTTGTTAAATATATTCCTAAGTATGTTATTCTTTTTTAAGTTGTGATGAATGTAAGGGTTTTCTTAATTTTGAGATTGTTGCTTGGTAGTATATAAAACCACAATTCATTTTTGCATATTGATCTATATTTTGCTACCTTGCTAAACTCTCTTGTTAGTTCACTTTTTTGGTAGATTCCTTAGGTTTCTCTACATACAAAATGATATTATGTCTATATAAAGGCAGTTTACCTCTTTCTTTTTAATCCCTATGCCTTGAATTTCTATTTTTTGCCCTTCGCACTGGTTAAATTTCCAGTAAAATAGGCAATAAAAGTAATCAGAGTGGACATCTTTGGCTTCTTTCTGGCCTTGTTTAAAAGAATTGTCTTTCACTATTAAGTACAATGTAAATTGTACTCCACTTATCTGTTGGAGGAAGTTCCCTTCTACTTGTCATTTTAAAGTTTTATCAAAATACATATTGAATTTTTTTCAGATGCTTTTCTGTATCTCTTAAAATTATTGCATGGTTTTTGTTCTTTATTCTATTAATATGGTGTATTATATTTATATTATTTTATTTTCAGATATTAAACAATTTTGCATTCAAGGGATAAACTCCACTTAGTCATGGAGTGTTCAATTTAATTTGCTGATATTTTGTTAATACATTATGTGTCTATAGTCATGAAAAATATTGGTTTATAGTTTCCTTTTCTAGGATGTTTTTGTCCAGTTTGATATCAGATAGCTATCTGAAACAGACTCATAATATGAGTTAGAATGTGCTTCTTCTATTATCAGAAAGAGTTTGTGTAGAATTGTTACTTCTTGGTAAATTTTTGATGAAATCAAAAGTGAAGATATCTAGACCTGGGCTTTTCTTTTTGTGAAGATTTTCAGTTAGCGATCTAACTTATTTTCTTTTTTATTAATATTTTTAATGGACAAATAAAAACTGTACATATTCATCACATACAACAATTTTTTTGAACTATGTGTACATTGTAGAATGGCTATATCAATACCTCACATACTTACTTTTTTGGTGGTGAGAACACTTAAAGCCTACTCTCAGCAATTTTCAAGAATACAGTACATTGTTCTTAAATGTAGTCACCATGTTTTACAACAGATCTCTTGAACTTATTCTTCTTATCTAACTAGAATTTTGTATCCTTTGACTAATTTCTCTCCAGCCTTTCCTTTTTGCTCCAGCCCCACCCCATCCCCTGGTAACCACCATTCCACTGTCTATTTCTATGAATTAAACTTCTTTATATTCCACATACAAGTGAGATTATGGAGTGTTTGTCTTTCTGTGTCTGGCTTATTTTACTTAATAGTATATCCTCCAGGTTTATCCATGTAGTTGCAAATTATTTATTTTCTTAACATAGATATATTAAGGTTTTCTGTTTCTTCTTGTGTCAGTTTCAGTAATTTGTGCTTTTTAGCAATGTTTCCATTTCACCAAAATTATCTAATTTTTTGGCATAAAGTTGCACTTAATAGTTCCTTGTATTCCTTTTAATTTCTTTTTGCAACGACATCTCCATTTTCATTCCTGATTTTAGTAATTTGTATATCTTTTTTCTTCTTCATCAGTCTAACTAAAGATTTATTAAATTGTTGGTCTTTGTAAATAAACAATTTTTGTTTTCACTGACTTCCTCTATTTTTCTGTTTTCTGTTTTATTGACTTCTACTGTAATCTCTATTACTTCCTTCTTACTACTTATTTAGGGTTTAATATGCTCTTTCTTCCATAGTTTCTTAAGGTATTTACTTAGATTACTGATTTTTAGATGTTACTTCCTTTCCAATATAATTATGCAAATCTATGAATTTCTCACTAAGTACTTCCTTAGCTGCACCCCATAATTTTTGATATGTTGTATTTTTATTTTAACTTAGTTCAAGATATTGCATAACTTTCCTTTTTATTTCTTCTTTTACCCATGGGTTATTTAGAAATGTTTCTGTTTAATTTCAAAATATTTGGGAATTTCCCATGTTTCTTTTTTGTTGTTTATTAATTTAATTCCGTTGCAGTCAAAGAACATACTTTTTACAAGCCAATCCTAAAAAAAACTATTGAGACTAATTTTATGACCTAATATATGGTTTATCCTGGATAATGTTCTGTGTATGCTTGAAACAGAAGTACATACTGTTATTATTGGGTGAAGTGTTCTATACATGGGAGTTTTGTCTAGTTAATAGGGTAGTTTATTAAAATAGGGTAAGTAGTCTATTCTGCCTGATCTTTTGTATAGTTGTTTTATCAATTACTCAGAGATGAGTATTGAAATATCCAATTGTAACATTTGAATTGTCATTTTTCTCTCTTCAAGCAGGTCAGATTTTGCCTTGTATATTTTAGGGCCCTTTAAATGGTGCATGTACAATTATAATTGTCATATATTTTACATATACTTACCCTTTAATCAATAGCAAATGTCATTCTTAGTCTCTATTAATCACTTTTTCTTAAAGTTTACTCTGTCTGATACTAATATAGCCACTCAAACTCTTTTTTGGTCACTGTTTCAATGGCATATCTTCTTCCATCCTTTTATTTTCAACCTATTTGCATCTTTGAATCAAAATGTGGGATTTATAGACAACATGTATTGAAAGTGCATCACTTATAGACAGCATATAGTTGAACCATGTTTTATTTAATTTACTCTGATAGTCTCTGCCCTTGGATTAGAGTGCTTCATCCATTCATATGTAATGTCATTAATGATATAATTAGATGTATGTCTGCCATTTTGCTATTTTTTAATATTTGAGTTATTTTGGTGCATCTGTTTCTTGTTTCCTGCCTTTTATAGAATTAAAAATATTTTTAGTTTATCTTGTTAATTTTTGGACAATCTTGTAGCTATATTTTTTAAGTTATTTTTTAGTGGGTGCTCTAAGTACTAAAATATTTTCTATGTTTTTAGTGTAATTCAAAAGCAATTCATGTGAAAACTGCTTTCATAGAAGTAGGGGACATTTAATACAGTATTTACCCTGTTAGTAACAAAGTCTCCACCACCTTCACAATCTTAACACAATCCCAGAGAAGAGCTTTCTAAGATTTCTAATAGCTCTCTTCCACCTATTCCAGATTTTCAGCTCAAACAGTAATGGAGCATTAGCCAAGAAAGACATATGGACAGAGACAGAGACCAACTGTGTTTCTCGTCAGGATTTTTGTAACAGTTGTGCCTTATAACACCCATCACCAGATTTATAACATTTTCAAATACACTGCACCTTAAATTTCTTAATAATCCTGAAAGTTCCATTCCTGTAAGTGTTAGGCATAATCATCCTAAATCACAACTGGGATAATCATTGAGTATCCGTGGCACATAATAAAAACATCCCTGAACACAGACCAGGAAAAAGTAGGAAGCCAACTTATTCAATAACCCAATATAGAAATCACTCTAAAGATGGAAAGATTTGTTTCTACTTGAAGATTAAATATACACTTTAAAGAGAATCCTGTCCAACTGTCGTCATGACTTGTAATTAGCCCTGAGTGTAGTTAAGACATAATGAACTACACAACAATGGAACTAGGGAAGGAAACCACCTTCTCCACCACCTTCCTGGAGACACTGCTGAGCATGATAGCGTGTAACACTGCTGCTCTGGCCTGGTTAGACTGACAGCATCATCAAATGCAATTAAATTTCACAAAATGTCAAAATACAGCAAGAAAACCATATCACATAATGTCACAGTAGCTCTACATCTGAAGAAATTCTTTGCATAATTTATTGAGCATGTGCTATTGCACTGCATGATCAAAGCAAAAGGAAGAAAAAGAAGCAAGGGCCACTAATGTGGGCCCAAACTGACCACCTGAAACACAAAGCTGTGATTTGCATAGTGATCATAGGGCTGTGGATTACAGTACATCAGAGCCCTAAATCAGAGGTACAAGCTTGGGAACCATACCAGTGAAACTGTCTTTGGAGCTTAGGTTATAAGAGGGTTTATCACTTTCTATTCACGGGGCCTCCCAGCTATTATCAATGCAACGCAGTGAGTCTGAAGCAGAGCACTGACTGGCCACAATGAGTTATGTATTTTCTTTTGGTCTAATAGAAACTTTCTTTGAAAAGAAGGAGCTTTATTAAGATGCTGGAGGTTTCTTCACAGGAATATAACAATATTTGGCTGAAATTACAGGATGTTAAATAAATGACTCAATGTGGTACCTTGAGCATCAGTCTCCATTGTTAGAGCCAGCACCCTAATCAGCTGTGACAGGGAGTGAGGATCCATGGGGCAGAAGGGAGCAGAGCCAGATGCTGAGAGATCTCAGAGTTGGAAGGAAACAGCTGACAGCAGAGTACATCCTGTCAGTCCAGAAGCTCAGGAGCTGTGATCTGAATTCAGCACGCGGGGAGGAGGAGGCCACGCACACCAGCTTCCTTCTCTGTAGCCTCCTGGACAGTCACCGCCAGGGAAACGCCAATGACAGCTAAAAGGAGCTGCCCACATGTGGGAAGCCAGGGAGTGCAGGGTTTTACAAGCTTGAACAGACCTTAAGAATCACCCAACTTGCTCATTTCACACATCAGGCAAAGGGATGGCAAAGAGATTAATTGCACTGAGCTACCCAGAGGCTTATCCTTAGGACGCAGACCCCACATTTATAATCCAAGTCGTCTATCCCTTGCCACTCAAAGCAGACGAGCAGCATTTGGTAGAAATGCTGACTCTCAGATCTGTCTTGGGCCAAATGAACCAGGAATTATTTTGAAACATCCCCAGAAAATTCCCATGCATATGAATGTTTTAAAAGCACTTATCTACACCACAGTTTAACTCTTCCAATCCAGCAAAGCACAGATTCTGGAGACAAACTCCGCCAGTTCACATCTCAATTCCTACACTTACTAACTGGGTGATCTAGGCCAAAGTCTTAAACTCTCTGTCTCTCAATTCCTTCTACAAACGTGAGGCTTAAGTAAACAAACGTGTAGAAAGTGCTTAGCACGATGCCTGGCATAAAGTCAATTCAATGTAAGTTTTAGTAATTATTGTGTGTGTGTGTGTGTATATATATATACACACACACACACACACATTTTTTTTTTTTTTTTTTTTATGAGATGGAGTCTTGCTGTGTCACCCAGGCTGGAGTGCAGCCGCACTGTCTCCGCTCACTGCAAGCTCCGCCTCCCGGGTTCACGCCATTCTCCTGCCTCAGCCTCCCGAGTAGATGGGACTACAGGTGCCTACCACCGCGCCCGGCTAATTTTTTTATTTTTAGTAGAGACGGGTTTTCACCGTGGTCTCGATCTCCTGATCTCGTGATCCTCCCGCCTCTGCCTCCCAAAGTGCTGGGATTACAGGCGTAAGCCACCGCGCCCGGCTGTGTTAATATTTTTATTTATAACGACTTGCAGAAAAAGCACAGCAGAAAAGTAAGTTATCAACTATTTTAGCATTATATGACTCTGTTTCAAAATACGGATTAAATTATGCAAGGATTTTAAAGCTTGAT
This sequence comes from Homo sapiens, assembly GCF_000001405.40. Lineage (NCBI taxonomy): Eukaryota > Metazoa > Chordata > Mammalia > Primates > Hominidae > Homo > Homo sapiens. The sequence goes on from NC_000012.12 coordinate 30,107,520, forward strand.
TGGGTGACTCCCCTGTGTTTTTAAAGAATAGCATTGTCTTCTGGCACACTGTGAAAGGCTGCATACTATCTTGTCCTTGCTTCGTACTGCTGTCTCATCTTTGCCACAATGTCCACAAGAGTTCGGGATTACCCAGCAGGGCAATTCAGCATGTTTAGGACGCCCACAAAAAATGGCTACACTTCCATCCCAACCACCATAGAAATGAGAAAAGTACAGCTCTATTTTAATTTTGCAATCAGAAAATCTGGACAAAAATTGATTTGACTTTTTGCATATGGGTAAATTTTGGGTTACTTCAAAACGTAAGATCTCTTTCCAATTTGTATACATGTTGTTTCCCTTCCTCACCTAATTACACAAGCTAGGAAAAAGTAAAACTTATTTTTAATTACATGCCTTGGGGGCATATTTACAGCATCTAATGGACTTAGATAGCTGCAACCATTGCGAACTATTAATAATTTTGCCCCGGTATTATATTATCTCCCTTCTATTCGTTTTTATATGATGCACTGCCAGCCTAAAATGTCTTTCTCAGTTATAGCCAGTGTCAATACCCTACAACCATAACCCACCAGGAACACAGCTGTGACTGCACACATTGAGTTTATTGCTCCTCATTGTGGAAAAGGAGAGTGCACACCATGGGGAGACGTGGGGCATCTAAGTCCGAACGTTAGAAAGGACTTATTATAAGATTTGGGCTAGTATTTAGTGAATATGGGTAGAAAGGAAGGGCTTTGCTCAGGACTGAACGCTGTTAGAAGTGAGGGTAATTCCATGATGGAGCATCTCAATAAATCTTATCTATAAGGCGGGAGAGATGGAACAAGGCTAAATCTGTAATTTGTAAAGCAGCAGCAGTTGGCCAGGTGTGGTGGCTCACGCCTATAATCCCAGCACTTTGGGAGGCCGAGGCAGGTGGATCACCTGAAGTTGGGAGTTCGAGACCAGCCTGACCAACATGGAGAAACCCTGTCTCTACTAAAAATACAAAAAAAATAGCCAGGCGTGGTGGCGCATGCCTGTAATCCCAGCTACCCGGGAGGCTGAGGCAGGAGAATCACTTGAATCCAGAAGGTGGAGGTTGCGGTGAGCTGAGATCGCGCTATTGCACTCCAGCCTGGGCAACAAGAGTGAAACTCCATTTAAAAAAAAAAAAAAAAAAAGGAGCAGTCACTCATATTATCTAGGATAGAGGAATATTTGACTATTTTGTGGTTTGGACAATCTTCATGCATCTGTCTGTGTTCAGACATAATTACAGAGTGCTATTGTCTTTGGCTTGATCCATCCAAGCACAGATCCATCAACATTGTCTGATGTTAATGTTGTGTGAAATTGTTCATATGCAACAGAATGTCAAGGCCCAGCTGTGTGTGCCCGGCCAATTCCTCACTCAGGGGCTAGTTTTCTCACCAGGCAAACTCTTCATTATTCAAAGTTCAAAAAGGTCTCCCAAAAACACCACCGACTCCTCTCCCTCTGAATTAGGATTTGTTCTTAGGCCTCCAATTGCACAGTGTGTGTGCCACTTATGGAGCTCATGTCAACCAGCCTATCCAGTCTGTTTACTGCCCTGTCTCCCTACTACATAAGGAACTCTTGCTGGCAGGACATTTAATCTGTGTTTGCTTGGTGTCTTTGTTTCTCCTTGAGATCTTTCCTCCATCCTGGTTCACTCTGCTTTTTGTCCAGAAGACTACCCTATACTATTTACAACGACAAGCTCCCATGTCCTCTGGCTTGCAGTTTGAGTGCAATGGAATGCCCTGACAAGACGTGAGAGGAAGGGAGGAAAGGAAAGTCAGTGTATCATTCGTGTTGCCTTAAGATGGATGTGTCACTCCTTGCACTTCTCAAGGGGACATTTCTACAAGACTCTCTCATTCCAGGTTTGGGTAATTGTTGTGTTCTTTCTTCCTGTTAGCTCTAGGGGTGATAATGTGTCCGGAATTGGTGGGTTCTTGGTCTCACTGACTTCAAGAATGAAGCCACGGACCCTTGCAGTGAGTGTTACAGTTCTTTAAGGCAGCGTGTCTGGAGTTTGTTCCTCCTGATGTTCGGATGTGTTCGGAGTTTCTTCCTTCTGGTGGGTTCATGGTTTCGCTGGCTCAGGAGTGAAGCTGCAGACCTCCACGGTGAGTGTTACAGCTCTTAAGGCGGCGCATCTGGAGTTGTTCGTTCCTCCTGGTGGGTTTGTGGTCTCGATGGCTTCAGGAGTGAAGCTGTAGACCTTCACAGTGAGTGTTATAGCTCATAAAGGCAGTGTGGACCCAAAGAGTGAGCAGCAGCAAGATTTATTGCAAAGAGCAAAAGAACAAGACTTCCATAATGTGGAAGGGGACCCGAGCATGTTGCCACTGCTGGCCCGGGCAGCCTGCGTTTATTGTCTTATCTGGCCCCACCCACATCCTGCTGATTGGTCCATTTTACAGAGAGCCAATTGGTCTGTTTTACAGAGAGCTGATTGGTCCGTTTTGACAGGGTGCTGATTGGTGCATTTACAATCCCTGAGCTAGACACAAAAGTTCTCCACGTGGGTCCCCACTAGATTAGCTAGATAAAGAGTGTCAATTGGTGTATTTACAAACTCTGAGCTAGACACAGAGTGCTGATTGGTGCATTTACAAACCCTGAGCTAGACACAGAGTGCGGATTGGTGCATTCACAAACCCTTAGCTAGACATAAAGATTCTCCAAGTCCCCACCAGATTAACTAGATACAGAGTGCCCACTGGTGCATTCACAAACCCTGAACTGGACACAGGGTGCTGATTGGTGTGTTTACAAACCTTGAGCTAGATACACAGTGCTGACTGGTGTATTTACAATCCCTTAGCTAGACATAAAGATTCTCCAAGTCCCCACCAGACTCAGGAGCCTAGCTGGCTTCACCCAGTGGATCCCGCACTGGGGCCACAGGGTAGAGCTGCCTGCCAGTCCCGTGCTGTGCCCCCACACTCCTCAGCCCTTGGGCAGTGATGGGACTGGGCACCCTGGAGCAGGGAGCAGCGCTCGTCGGGGAGGCTCCGGTCGTGCAGGAGCCTGCAGCAGGGGCGGGGGTCGGGGGAGGCTCAGGTATGGCAGGCTGCAGGTCCTGAGCCCTGCCCCCTGGGGAGACAGCTAAGGCACTGCGAGAAATCGAGCACAGCAGCTGCTGGCCCAGGTGCTAAGCCCCTCACTGACCGGGGCAGGCGGGGCCGGCCGGCCGCTCCAAGTGTGGGGCCCGCCAAGCCCCTGCCCACCCGGAACTCCCGCTGGCCTGCAAGCGCCACCCGCAGCCCCGGTTCCCACCTGCGTCTCTCCCTCCACACCTCCCCGCAAGCTGAGGGAGCAGGCTCTGGCCTTGGCCAGCCCAGAAAGGGGCTCCCACAGTGCAGCAGCGGGCTGAAGGGCTCCTCAAGCGCAGCCAGAGTGGGCACCAACACCAAGGAGGTGCCCAGAGTGAGCGAGGGCTGCAAGGGCTGCCAACACGCTGTCACCTCTCAATAACAGCAACTCTCCACTTACTAGCCTAGGGTACTCCACCATCACACCATCCTCTCTATGGCTATAAACCTGCCTTTGTGAACAAATCCTCCTCCAATTATCTTTACGTAAGTGTGCTTTCTTTTTCCTACTGAGGATGTGACTCATACATTATGTTTCCATCTGATTACATGCCTTCTTTTCTGTCAGCTGCTGAGAATAAGACTCTGATTTCACGGGTATACATTCTAGACCTAGACAGTGAATGGCACTCATTTGACTGGATGAATACATTTATTCTTTGCATTAAATCTTTCCTTTTTTTCTGTATTTGGTGTCTTCTAGGAGGGTGTCGAAGAGACTGTTTGTTGTGTATGGCAGATATTCCTGAGAGGTGTAGGGCCAGTGTGTGGAACAAGCCACTCAAGGGGAATATTCCTGGAATCAGTGGCTGGGTGTCTTCAGGGAGCAGGAAATCCCAGAAAGCATGCTGTAAATTGAATCAAAAGCTGTAATTATTTTAGTCTAAATCCACTTAGCTGTATCTAATAAATTCAAAGACACTGAATATATATTACCTGAGTCGATGAGACTTAAGAAATGAATAAAGAAAGGCGGTTTTCGTCGCTTGCCAGTCAGATTGAATGGCCACATGCAGTAAAACCGCCAGAAGTGGCTTTTCCAAAATGCATTTTGTAGAAAACAGCCACATTTCTTCATCAAAGAGAAAGAAGGGTTGTGCTAAGTGTATTATTATAACATATATGACTTAAAATCCCGGGCTTGAGCACCTTACAGAACCATTTTTCCACATCTGACTAGTTTCAACAAAATAATGCCCATACCTAGAGAGGAGGAGATACTATCATGTCCTTTCCCCCACTTATCCTTTAAAACAGTCAGAGTTGCTGCAAACAAGCAGAGATTCCACATTTAAAACCATCTCTGGGACAGATCACTGAAGGATGACAGCTCTGGCATCTGCAGCTGAGGACGGTGGGTATCAGCAAGAAGATGATTTAATTATTTCTTGATGCCAAAGGAGGTTTCACCTGATTGTTTTCCAGCTGTTCCATATTAAAATAAATTGCACACATTTAAAAGAGCCAGTAAACAGGGTAGTAATGATTCGTATGCTCTCACATCTTAATAGTAAACTTTGTACAGAATTATTTTGGGTATAAATAAGGCAGAAAGCACATAGAGAAATTCCACTAATAGGTTCAGAAAGTGAGAAAAAGCCTGTATGAAAAACATATGTATATATTATTTACATATAATTTTTGTATATTAATTTATATGTATAAATTATACATATGTATATATATATACCCCCATATATATATATATATATATATATTTTTTTTTTTTTTTTTTTTTTTTTTTTTTGAGACAGAGTTTCGCTGTTGTCACCCAGGCTGGAGTGCAATGGTGCGATCTCAGCTCACTGCAACCTCTGCCTCCTGGGTTCATGCAATTCTGCTTCAGCCTCCCCAGTAGCTGGGATTACAGGTGCCCGCCACCACACCCAGCTAATTTTTGTATTTTTAGTAGAGACAGGGTTTCACCATGTTGGTCAGGCTGGCCTCGATCTCCTGACCTCAGGTGATCTGCCCTCCTCAGCCTCCCAAAGTCTTAGGATTATGGACATGAGCCACTGTGCCTGGCGGAGAACGATATTTTTAACTATCTCTTTTATGCAAGGAAATATAACAGTTATATAAAACAGATACATTCTTTTTTTAAATTTCAACCTTTACTTTAGATACAGGGGATACACATGCAGGTTTGTTACATATATACACTGTGTGATGTTGAGGTTTGGAGTATGGATCCTGTCACCCAGGTAGTGAGCATACTATCCAATAGGTAGTTTTTCTACCCACTCCCCTATCCCTTGATCCCTCCCACCTCTAATAGCCTTGATGCCAGCTGAGGCTTCACCTGATTGTTCTGCAGTGTCTGTTGTTCCCATGTTTGTGTCCATGTATGCCCAATGTTTGGCTTTCACTTATAAGTGAGAACATGTTGTATTTGGTCTTCTGTTCTTGTGTTAATTCACTTAAGATTATGGCCTCCAGCTGCATCCATATTGCTGCAAAGGACATGATTTTGTTGTTTTTTTATGGCTGCCTAGTATTTCATGTTGTATATGTACCACATTTGTCTTATCCGATCAACCATTGATGAGTACCTAGGTTAATTACATGTCTTAGCTAAAATAGCTGCATTCTGTCTTCTAACAATATGTGAAGGTAAGACAGGAAGATATTCCAAAAAGAGGAAAGTCATGGTATACCTGGAAATCTGAGATGTTCTTACAAACATCATCTCTGTTAGTATATGAAATAGGAATGGATTCTCCCTATTTCTAGGAAATGTTTAGAGAAAAGATTGAGAAATAAAAATCTAATTTTTTTCTTTTTTTCAAGACAAGTCTTGCTCTGTCACTCAAGCTGGAGTGCAGTGGCATAATCTCGGCTCACTGCAACCTCCACCTCTCGGGTTCAAGCGATTTTCCTGCCTCCGCCTCCTGAGTAGCTGAGATTACGGGTGCATGCCACCACACCCAGCTAATTTTTGTATTTTTAGTAAAGACAGGGTTTCACCACGTTAGCCAGGCTGGTCTCGAACTCCTGACCTCAAGCAATCCACCCACCTTGGCCTCCTAAAGTGCTGGAATTACAGGCATGAGCCACCTTGCCTGGCCTGATGTTTTCAATACTTGATCAGTGAACTGTAGTTTCTACTAAAAGATTTAATTCAGCAAGCACAGCAATGGTGTGAATAGAAGCCTAAATGTTTAGCAAAGCAGATATATATTTAAACACACACAACAACAACAACAACAACAGCATAATGGCAAAATATCAGGGAGTAAATATTAAGTCCTTAAAAGAAAAATGTTTTAAACTAGATAACAATTTTAACCTACACGGCTACAGAGATAGCTTGCTTCTTGTGCAAACAACTGCTGGAATAAGACACAATAAAACTATCAAAATCTAATATCAATTTTACTTCTAAATTATCTTTCTCTCATTTGTTTGGATGAAGTCAGGTAATTAAATAATATCACAATTTATACAAAATGTTATTTAGCATGAGGACTACTAAAAAGATACATAAGAGAAATGAAGTGCTGCTTAATAACTATCTATGGTATAGATGATTTTTCTCACTTTGGCTGCTGCACTTTGTTTCACACTCAAGGATTTGGGGTCCCCAGTTGACCTAAGTCTTCCAAACTGGTGTGTCAACTCCACCATGATCCTGGCATATCCCTTTAACTTTCTGCCTTTCGGTTATAGTTTTTTCCTTGGCTATATATTTTTTGCATTAATTTACTTTCTTTTCATTGAAATAAGATGATGAAGGCTTTTTATTCTAATATCCATAAACTCTGACTCATGCTATAATTTTACAATAAATGTGTTTTGTGTGTCTTAAAATTGTTTTTCCAGATTATTATATTCTTTTCCTGAAATTAGTCAATTTCAATTAGTCAATATTTATTAAGTTAGACAGTGTGGAAAGAAGGATTGATGGGGGTTAAAAATGGAAGACTTCGAGGGCTTGTTAACCTAAGAATACAAACTGGCAAATGATAATTGCTGAATAAGGAAGGCAATAATAAGTGCTATAGGTTTCCAGATAGGTTGCAATGAACTGGACAGGTGTTTTTGTTTTTTGTTTTTTGTTTTATTATTATACTTTAAGTTTTAGGGTACTTGTGCACAACGTGCAGGTTTGTTACATATGTATACATGAGCCATGTTGGTGGGCTGCACCCATTAACTCATCATTTACATTAGGTATATCTCCTAATGCTATCCCTCCCCCCTCCCCCTACCCCATGACAGGCCCCAGTGTGTGATGTTCCCCTTCCTGTATCCATGTGTTCTCATTGTTCAATTCCCACCTATGAATGAGAACATGCGGTGTTTGGTTTTTTGTCCTTGCGATAGTTTGCTGTGAATGATGGTTTCCAGCTTCATCCATGTCCCTACAAAGGACATGAACTCATCCCTTTTTATGGCTGCATAGTATTCCATGGTGTATATGTGCCACATTTTCTTAATCCAGTCTATCATTGATGGACATTTGGGTTGGTTCCAAGTCTTTGCTATTGTGAATAGTGCTGCAATAAACATACGTGTGCATGTGTCTTTATAGCAGCATGATTTATAATCCTTTGGGTATATATCCAGTAATGGGATGGCTGGGTCAAATGGTATTTCTAGTTCTAGATCCTTGAGGAATTGCCACACTGTCTTCCACAATGGTTGAACTAGTTTACAGTCCCACCAACAGTGTAAAAGTGTTCCTATTTCTCCACACCCTCTCCAGCACCTGGACAGGTGGTTTAAAAAAAGTATTAAATGGATTGTTTTATGCCAAAAGAAATTATTGGGGAGAAGGTGTGGAGATGGATGGCAATACTAAAACCATTACAAGCAGAAAGGACAGATACATTACATAGCAGAGAGGAAGGGGATGTGGTGAGAGCAAAGTACTGCAAAATGGCAGTGGGAGATGAGACTGGAAATGTGGACACGAGGCCAATGAGTGTACAGCTGCCGGAGAAAGACAGTGCAGGGGATGTCATCACAGGCTCTCAGGTGCCTATGATGTCCCTTCCAATCCTGGTTCTTCCACCTATCAGCCTCAGTTTCCTCAACTGCAAAATGGAGATGATAACAGCAAGTAGCCTCAGAGAATTCCTGTCAGTATTGAATAGGAGAACTTCTTCCACAGTGCATACTGTATCAAGGGATCAAAAAAGCATGAGTTCTTATTATTCACCACATTGGGTCTTGTTGGGTCTTGTTGTGTCACCATTAGTGAGGTCTTGCTCTACTGTGACATGACAAATCACACATCTGGAAAACAATACCCATTACCCTTTTCAGATGGAGGAGGCCACTCTTCCCACATCCCTTTCATGCAGGTTTCTCAACACAGTTTAAAGTCAGTCCAACAACACAGATTTGAACTGGTCTCCTCTTACCCAGCCACAACATCCCATTATCCCCAACAGCCTCCAGGACGAAGCCTCTCACCTCTGTACTCAGCTGGAGGTTCCCAACAGTGCTCCAGTACCATCTTTTATATATGCTGACCTTCCCAGTACAGTGAACAAGACTTGAGTCAAGAAAGACCTGGATTCAAATAGTGACTGCCTGTGTTACTCTTGACAAGTTATCTTCTCTGAATTCAACTTTCTTACATTTAAGACATGTAAATAATAAAAGCGTTTGTGTATGCTGTTGTGAAGCTTAAATGAGATAACTAAAGCAGAAGTATCTTACCAAAAGAGTCAGACACAGTGGCTACACTACAAACACTTCAGAGCCCACTTCATGCCGGGTCCTAGGCATTGTCTACTTTAGTCATCATAACAATCCTATGAGAGAGATGCTGTACTAGCCCTATTTTCCCTGTGAGGAAGCTGAGGTCTAGAAGGGTTAAGTAACTTGAGTCAAAGATGGAGTGGGTGCAGCACTGCATCTGAACCAGGCCATCTGACTTGGCTTCATTCCCCCCTTCTGAGAACCCCAAGGAGGAAAGTGCATGCCTGAGTGTCAGCTCCCCCAGGCCCAGGGCCTCCCTGACTTCATCGATTCATCCATGAGAATGCCTTTGGTTAACAGAAAAGCCATAATCAAGGGAAATCCCTTGTGTCATTGTGAAGTTGTTTACTTATGATCCTGTGTTTTATCCTTAAGGTCAGAAGCTGCCAGCCATTGCTAGTAATACAGAGAGGCCGCAAGAGTCAGGCTAAGGTCTCAGCTGTTCCCCCCAACTCATGTCTCCTTTCCATCTAAAGGAATGAATTTTGATCAAAATTACCATTTCTAAACACGACTGCCTCCACTTTCCTAGCTGTAACCTGACAACATTTGCAATGAAGTTGGCTGTATGCCTCAGCATGAGCCTTCACCATTTAGGAGCTACTTTCCTAGTTGACCCCTCACTCCCTAACAGTCCTTCCCTCAGGTTCTGCGCCAACGGTAGGTTTTCCATCCTCCACACCTCCTACTTATTCTCACACATTTCAATCTTGCTCTGCTTACTCTATCACGTATCTGGGGAACTTCCCATTTCTTTGATCTGACAACACAAGGCCTAGCTTTCTTAAATGGCAATTTCCACAGAATATTAATGGAACTGAAACTGTTCTCTTATATTTCTTTGAAGACCTATATCCAGCATATCACTGGGGAAAATAAATATAACTTATTTCTGAGAACAGGGCTCAAATATTTGTACTTTTTTTGTAGTATGGTAATCAACTACTCTGTTTTACTCCCTTAAGTATATGACATGTCTTAAAACATATGTTGAAACATCTATTCCTTCACCAAGTAGTGAAAAGCGAGCTGTTTAAAGTAGGAGTCACTCTCTAACTGATCCAGGATAACATTTCATCTTTTTTCCTCTTCCACGTGCCTCCTGTACCTAGAGAGAGGGGAAGTATGATTCCGTGGGGATGATGTGTTTCTTCTCAAACACTCAGCTGAGTTGGTCTCTCTGTGATGAGGCCACACACCTGCGCTGGCCTGAATAAGTGTGGTTGATCTGATTTTGCACATGGTCCTAGAGACACAGCATATTTTTCATATAAATGAATGAATGACCTCCACCAAGGATATCAGAACGTCTTACATTTCCCTCACAATTTAATTTTTTTTTTTTAGGGCTGTCTCAGTAAGCAGATGGGTGACCTACATCCCTAAGTGAAAAGATCATGAAGTATTTTGAGAGTTCCACAAATCAAACAAAACTAAAATAGTATTTTGAATCACATTATGGAAATAGCTGAAGAATTAGTCTTTATGCATGTGGCCCATTCCCCATATTCATGTTGAATTGCCATTATCAATTTTTAACGAACTTTAATTTTCTTTAGTTTTATTTTACTTCAATTTCACTAGTTGGTAATTTGTGTTTCTATTTTCACTCACTTTGCTTTTTACAACTGAAACAGTTATAATAGATGTTTCTAACAATCACAGACCCTCTGCCTCAAGACATTTAGTGGTTTCAGTACAACCACTTCAAGCCACACTGTTTATGGAAATGACCTGAGACCTCAGAGATTATTTTAATTCGGTGTAAACATTGCCAGACATAATTTGATGGATCTGTATGTGAATTTTGTTTCTTCACGGTATTTAACTTCTGTCACCAGCGTTAGCCTATTCTAGGCTAGTAAAAAAATGTGTAATTGTTAGATAACCAATCATATCACCTCTGTGGTTTCCTGGAACCCAGCACCAGGCTGAGCCTGGGTTAGGTGGGAATAGGTGAAGCCTATGGCAGAGGGAGAGACCAATACCTGCTCAGAAGCCTGATGAATGGCACATGACCCTCAAAATCCATTTAGGCAGTACCATCTTTAAGGTAAAAATTCGGCCCACCTCTGGAATTATGAGATTTCTTGCCACAACTACTTTCTCTTTATGTAAGTTGAGTAAGCTGGTCATGAGAATAGACTAGGGGGTCTACCCTACTGTGTGGTAGAGATTTCCAGCTCTACCACACACTAGCTGCTTGATCCTGAGCCTCAGTTTTCTTGTCTGTAAAATGCAGATAATAATATTACCATCCACATGAGATTGTGGTTAGGGTTAAATAAGTGTGAAGGCATTGAGACCAGTGCATCAATATTGTGAAGACTCAGTAAATGTTAGCCAGTGCCATGGTCAGTTTTATGTGTCACCTCAGCTGGGCAAAGAATCTACTTACTCAATCAAACAATAATCTAGTGCTGCTATGAAGGTGTTTTTGTAGATATACAATTAGTTGACTTTAGGTAAAGGAGATTATCCTTGATAATCTGAGTGGGCCTCATGTAATCAGTTGAAAGGCCTTATGAGCAAAACTGAGGATTTCCCCTGGGAAGAAGTAATTCTGCCTCCAGACTTCATTGCCAGCCCCTGCCCCAAATTGTCCAGCCGCAGGCCCGCCCTACAGATTTTGAACCTGTCTAGCCAGAGCCCACAGTTGTATAAACCTATTCAAGTACTTGAGAAGACCGGACATGGTGGCTCACACCTGTAATCCCAGCACTTTGGGGGACTGAGGCAGGAGGATTGCTTGAGCCCAGGAGCTCAAGACCAGCCTGGGCAACATAGAAAAACCCCGTGTCTACAAAAAATACAAAAATTAGCCAGGTGTGCTGGTGTGCACATATAGTCCCAGCTACTCAGGAGGCTGAGGTGGGAGGATCAATCGAGCCTTGGAGGTGAAGACTGCAGTTAGGAAAGTTATCATCCAGCCTGGTTGACAGAGCAAGACTGTCTCGAAAAAAAATCTTGACAAGAAGTTGCATCTCATTATTCACTAGTTATGTTCTGTAAAGTTGCCATGAACACTGAATTAGTGAATACAGACCCATTGCTCCTACAGAAAATACAGGGTTAGGTTCCTGCAAGCTTCTGGTCACATTTTCATCAACCAATCAGTACATAGCTTTGTTTACCTGTGTTTCTGACACCTTATTTAATATATATGTATTAAAAATAATGAATTGCACAATCTTTGAATGATTTAAAGCCAGGGGCTTTGGAAGCCATTTGCATGATATAGGTTCATTTGCCAATATCCTGGTAAAACAAACCAGTAACACTGGCATTGAAAGTCTTCTCCTTCACATAATTCTTTTGTATAATATTTAGCAGATTTTTTTTTTTTTTAGCTTTTGTGGGTACATAGTAGGTATATGTATTCATGGTGTATACAAGATGTTTTGATAAAGGCATGCAATGTGTAATAAGCACTTCATGGAGAATGGGGTGTCCATCCCCTCAAGCATTTATTCTTTGAGTTACAAACAATCAATTTTCACTCTTTCTTTTAAAATGTACAATGCGGTTATTATTGACTGTAGTCACTCTGTTGTGCTATCAAATAGTAGGTCTTATTCATTATTTCTATCTTTGTATACCCATTAACCGTCCCCACCTCCTCCCCCAACACCCCCACTGCCCCTGCCAGGCTCTGGTAACCATCCTTCTACTCTCTCAGTTCGTAAGTTCACTTGTTTTTAGTTTTAGATCCCACAAATAAGTGAGAATATGTGATGTTTGTCTTTCTGCATCTGGCTTGTTTCGCTTAACATAATTATCTCCAGTTTCATCCATGTCACTGCAAATGACTGGATCTCATTCTTTTTATGACTGAATAGTACTCCGTTGTGTATAAGTACCACATTTTCTTTATCCATTCATCTGTTTATGAACACTTAAGTTGCTTCCAAATCTTAGCTATTATAAACTTGGTAGATATTTTAAAAATTATTCTATAGTCTCTTGATCTACAGAATCTGCTTTGCCTGCAAGTTTAACATTTTTCACGCTATACTGCTTTTTACATGTGTGAGCCAGCCAGCTCTAGCCAAGAAGGGCTTAAGGTTTTCCTGGTTCTGGGTAACATAACCTTACCTTAAGTTTCTCTATTTTCGGCCTCACAACAGTGTTGTCCGGTATGTTTGTTTGTTTGTTTGTTTGTTTGGTCTGTCATTATCTCATGAAGCCAGAAGTTTAGCCACTTTTCCATTTTTTCTATAGCTTCATCAAAAACTATAGATGTTATTTTAGTACTTTTCAGAGTGGCCTCATATACAGAGCAGTGAATGTCTTCTTTTTGCTGGATGTACTGTATAGCTGAGTCATTAACATTGAACTCACAGCCAATAGCACTATAACTCATGCCTGAAGGAAGCTTATCTAACACATGTATTTTCTCCAAAAGGCACATTGTGGCCTTCTTGTGCACTTAGGAACAGGAGGCAGGCAGCGCTTCAGCACAAGGTTTGGGGGCATTTTAAACAGTGAAATCACCCAAAAAAAGCATAAAAATGTGAAAAACATGGCACTAAATTGACTGCAAAAAGGATACATTTATAGTGTTAGAGCTGGAACAAGAAGGCAGAGTATTGCTTCATTCAACCTCAGCTGTCCTGGGCAATTCAAACTTTTCTCTGCTCTGTGTATGTCTGTGAATGACCATGAAAGAACCATGAATACGAATTTGGAGATCACAAAAACACTTTAGTAAGTATTGATACAGGAGGAGAGCAGGGAAGTACTGGGAGGAGAAGGGTGGGGTCTCTGGCAAGGGCTCCACCCTCAGGCCTATGCTCACAGATCTAGGTGAAGACAGGCATTCCTGCCTTTGCACCCAAATGTTGCATTTTCTAAGACCACCCTGGCCTGCCATTCCCCCATCCAGTGCCCATAAAACCCCTGAGGCCCTAGCAGGCACAAACATAAGCAGCTGAATGTCAACAGGAACACACTGGTAGAAGAGACACAAGTGGCTGCACGTCAAGAGGAACACATCAGCAAAAGGGCACACAGGCAGCTGGAAGTCGAGAGGAGCAGAGGTGCGGAAGAGCGCACTGAGAGGCACCAGAAGACGCCGGCCGGCCATTGACCAGCGGAACGACATGGACCCTGAGGGGAATATGGCTGGGGCGGTCAGAGAAGAGTCAGGCCACTGAACACCCGACTCCAAGAGAAAACCACCTTCCCACTCCATCCCCCTTTTGGCTCCCCATCCATCTGCTGAGAGCTACTTCCACCGTTCAGTAAAACCTTGCACTCATTCTCCAAGCCCACGTGTGATCCGACTCTTCCAGTATACTAAGGCAAGAACCCTGGAATACAGAAAGCCCTCTGTCCTTGAGATAAGGCAGAGGGTCTAATTGAGCTGATCAACACAAGCCACCTACAGATAGATGGCAAAACTAAAAGAGAACATGGTAACACATGCCCACTGAGGCTTCAAAAGCTGTAAACATTCACCCCTAGACACTGCCGTGGGGTTGGAGCCCATGACCACAACCTGCCCGTCTGCAGGCTTCCCCTACAGGTTTGAGCAGCAGGGCACTGAAGAAGTGAGCCACACCCCCATTGCATGCCCTGTGAGGGAGATAAGGGAACTTTTCCCATTTCAGTGCGTATATTTGCAAATATGGAATCTGTGAATACTGAGGATTAAGATATACATATGTTTCTTCTCCTGGCTCTATTTCTCTGGTAGAATCCTGATGCAGCTAATATTATTAATTATTCTCAATATTCCTGTAATACCTCAGAGGATTTTTTAAATTGGAATTAAGTATTGTATTTGAATAGCAGGTATTGAATAAATATGAATAAATGTTTGCATAATTAAACTGACAGAAACGTCTATGTTTCATAAAACATTCTGGCATAAAATGTGATGGGAATAAAGGAAAGTTCAGCCACATGTAGCTTGGATGTGCATCTCACCCGGTGAGGTGCATCATTCAGTCACGGTTGGCTCAGTTGGGTCCTCCAGGACAGCATGATCAGAAGAGTAGCATCCACCCACCCAGATTGAGAGTCCACTATGCAGCAGATATTGCCCCACAGTACATGGTAAGATAAGTGGGGGAAAGAAGAACAAAACATCTACAAGAAAAATAATGTCATAAACAATAACTAATCAGCATAATTGAAAAAGCAAAGTACATGGGTAATATGATAAGTAAAGGGAAATGTATCGCACCTTAGAAGGGAAGGAGATTTTAAGCTAAGGGAGATTAAGGGTGGGGTCTCATAAGGTGTCTGAATTTCAGGGTCATTCTAAAGGAACAGCACAGTGGCTTGCAACAAAAAAGGGTGGTCATGCTGAAGACAACCTGTGGTAGTTTGCTGAGAAAATGACCACTTAAATGGTTTCTTCACAATATGGATCCAGGTTAACAGTAATTTGGACAATAAAAAATTGAGAAACAGAGCTATCAAGAAAAACACTGCAAATGAAAGAACTGTAGCAAATAGCATAAAGGGACATACGTTTTCATTAACATAAGATGCACCCCGAAGGTATAATTATCTATAACTGAAATTGCAACATTCTTAAAATGTAGGCAAATTTTCCTACAAGTACTAAGAGCAATAAAGAGAATTCTCACAAGAGAACATATAAAATGAAGGACAGATGTTTAGTATAAATATATTTGTCTTACAGAGTCAAAGAAGATGTCTTTTCATTTATTTTATTTGGATTAGAACACACCAGAGGGTTGTTCATGCTAAATAGCTTCTACATAATTTTTTCCATTCTGATAATCTAAATATTCCAGGGGTAACTCAGTAAATATGATACCTAGAAGAATGTCTTAGTGAATGACCAGTTAACAACAATTCATTTTTCTCATTCAGCAAACATTTATTGAGCATTTAACATGAGCCAGCCACTATCCCAGGAGTTGGGAATGCAGTAGTGACCAAGAGACCTAAAGCCTCTGAATTCATGGAGTTTACACTCTACTAAGTAGTAAAAGCAACAAAGAAGCAAGAATTACAGGTGGTGTTAAGATTAATGAGGAAAATAAAACAGGGTGATGAGATAAAGAATGACCTGGTACTGCTTTAGATTGGGTAGTCAGGGATGGCCTCTCTGAGGCTGAACATTAGTTGAGACCTGAATGATAAGAAGGACCTGAGCACACAAAGATCCAGGGGAAGAGCATGTCAGGCAGATGTAAGTCAGCACAAAGGGCTCTGTGCAGGGATGAGCTTGGCGTGTTCCAAAATCAGAAAGAAGGCAAGCATAGGTGGAATGTTGTGAGCAAAGAAAGGAGTGGGGGAAAATGGCATCATAGAGGTGTGCAGACACCATTCAGGAAGGCCTTTTTGGAAGGATGAGGAAGAGACATTAATTCCAAGTGGAAGCGGAGTCAATGGAAGTATTTCAGCATGATATTGATTATTCTTAAAGATCATTCTGAAGGGTGAATAATGGATTGCAGAAATTGAAAGACCAATTAGCAGCTTTTAATTTAAATTCAACAAACATATGATAGCTTAGGTTAGGATATTGGCAACAGAAGTGGAACAAATTAGACAAATTTGGGATACGGTTTGAAGGTATTGTTAAGAATTTGGTCAGGAAAGGGGGAAATTTAATATTATTCTCAGATTTTTGACTTGAGTGACTGAACAGATGTTGGTATAATTTTTGAGATGAGGAAACTATGAAAATATTTGAGGAAGAATTTGGAAACATCTATTATATATCTGACTAGAGGTATCAAGTGGACATTTGATTGTATGGATCTAGTGTTTAGGGGTGGAGATAAACTTGATGATCAATAATTTGTAGAGAATACGTAAAGCCACAAGACTGGATGAGAGCACTAAGGAAGAGAGTATAGAAAAAGAAGAAAAGAAACCTTGCTTCAGAGACCTGTGGAATGCCAACATTTAGCAGTCAGACTGATGTGCAGTGGTGTGCAGCACCTAAAATGGCTTCTAGTGATCTTCATCTACTGGTATTCATGCTGTTACCTTGTCTCCTCCAACAATGAATAATAGCTGGCAAGCATGACCAATACAGTACCGTAGAGGTGATAGTGCATGACTTTCAAGGTTTGATCATAAAAGGAATTGCAGTATCCACCCAGCTCTGTTTGTCAGCTCACTTAAGGGAAAGCCAGCCACCATGTTGTGAAGACACTCAAGCAGCATCACATGCGGGTGAACCAGGCCAAGTTAGGCTTCAGATGACTGCAGATCTCTGTGACATCTGACTGGCAACCCCATGGGACCCCAAGTCACTCCCAAACTCATGACCCACAGAAACTGAAGAAAATGAATGATTATTGTCAGTTTAAGCCACTAAGTTTTGAGTTAACTTCTTAAGCAGAACAGGTATTGATAGAGTAACAAGCAAAACAGATCAAGGAAACGAAGCCAACGTTTCAGGAAGACGACTAGGAAAACCGAGGCAGTAGAGAAAGAGTTGTAGGTTTGAAGAGAGAGGAGATGTGAAATAATCATTTGGGAGAATGGGAAATGGATCATACTATAAAACTCAGTAGGACTGGTGGGTTGCATTGAGACCCCATTTGAGATTTTCCTTTATAAATCTTCAGACTCATGTGGGGTTTTTTTCCCATAAATATTTAATGGCTTGGATTCTGACAGAGTAGGCAAGAATTGGGGATAGAGTGGTAGTTTTACCAGATGAGTATAAAGAAGGAACAGAGGAAGAAGAGAGTTGACATTATTGCAAGAGAGGGATTATAAAGATAGACCATAAGCTTGAACGTGGGTAAGAAAGATAATGAAAATATGGAAGGCAACTGAAAGTGAAAGGTAGGAGGACTCGAGGCTTAGAGTCCTTGTTGGAATGGAAGAATGCTGGAAGGAAGTATCAGAGGAGACAAGCTAGAAGGAAAGGAGGCAGTGACTAGACATTAGTTTGCTTAAAGCTGAGATTTTAGATGCACTATAGACATCGATGGAGATGTCTCCACCATTATAAGGAAATAATGACAATTATTTTGAAAATAACGTTTAATATTTATTAGATATGTACTAGATGCCAGACCTTCTTTTAAAAACCACTGATGGGCCAGGCGTGGTGGCTCACGCCTATAATCCCAGCATTTTGGGAGGCTGAGGCAGGTGGATCACTTGAAGCCAGAAGTTCAAGACCAGCCTGGGCAACATGGCAAAACCCTGTCTCTACTAAAAATACAAAAATTAGCCAGGTGTGGTGGCTCACACTTGCAAACCCAGCTACTCAGGAGGCTGAGGTATAAGCATTGCTTAAATCTGGGAGGTGGAGGTTGCAGTGAGTGGAGATCACGCCACTGCACTCCAGCCTTGGTGACAGAGCGAGACTCTGTCTCAAAAAACAAATAACAAAACAAAAACCATTCATGCAGTATCATTTCTCCTCACAAAACCTTAATTTTACAGATAAGGAAACTGAGGCATGCCCCAAATCATACAGCTAACAAGTAGCACTGTTGGGGTTGAAACCCAGGCTGTCTAATACAGAACATACACCCTTAACCAGTCTGTCACAATGACTAGAGGAGTGGGTAGCTAACAACAGCAACAGAAAGAGGTATTGTATGGTGATTTTCTTTTTGAAGGAATGTAGAGGAGAGAGAATGAGGTGCAAATATAGGATGGCTAGTCCATATCCAGTTGTTGAGATATGTCAGCAAGGTCAGTCTGGTTGAGGGATGTCCAGGATAAGGATGAGATGAGAATTTGAATGTTGACACAAAATCTGGAAGGCTTGGGCTTCTGAGAGCAATGGAGGCAAATGGAAATTAGGTGCCTACTAGACTGGTCCTGTCATTCTCTTCAGATGGGGGAATATGGTGCCCCTAGGCAATGTTTCTCATTTGCAGTTCCAGGGACATGATGACCCAGGGATGAGTGAAGGATATCTGCTGATCAAGTGTTAGGGACTCTGATAATATCAAGTCTAGGAATTGCTTCCATGATATCTTTGCATGAAGATGCTGAAAGGGGCTAGAAATTTAGGGACAAGTTTAAGGATTATTGAGACTCTTGTAATCTGAGAAACAACTTCCTACTCTGAGTCAATCATTAGGAATTCAGGGTTATTACAGCATAGATGAGTAAATAAAAATTGATATTCGGAGAAACTAGGTCATGTGATACCTTAAATAATTAGGGGACCAAGAAAGGGTAAAATCCGGGGAGTCCTATAGTGTATTTTCTTCTACTTCCAATACATTATTTTGAGGAAATTGTTTGTTTTGACTAACCAGAGATTGAAGCAGTTTCCTGGGTAATTTAGGAAAAATAGACAAGTTCGCAAAAAAATAACATATCAGTGGGAGTCTACATGCCAAACTCGTCAAAGTTCTTATCCCTGAAAAGGGAAAGAAATATGATTTGTAAAAATGTAGTTAATGGAGACATTAGATGTACCTGCCGTGTTTCATTTCCTGGAGGGACTTGGGAAGAAGAATTATAAATGTTCAAAGTTATTCTTTTGGGGTAGTAAGAATGTGAGTGTTTGTTTTATTTTTCTGTATACTTTTCTTCAGTTTTTTAACTCTTCAGAAAAAAATAGGAAAAGCAGCCTGTGAAATAATTATTAAAAATTATTAAAAATATATTTCAATAAGGAATCATATGTTCTAGGTAAAAAGCTAAAAGGAAATGTTTTATGGAAACATAAAAATTAGGTTACAGGACATTTTATTTCAAATAGGAGATATGGAAGACTACATTTGTCTTTTCCTCTTCCTTAAATTAACTGCCTCACTTTTTTTTAAACTTATGACACATGAGTGCACAACCATGACCAATTGCAGTGAAACGTCACTTACACATGCCCATAGTGAATGCTTGCACAGGCATGCATTCACTTTAAAAAGTGAATGGCCAAAAGCCCTAAAGTAATCATGACCTTGCAAAAAAAATTAATCCTCCAAAAACGTTACACATAAATTTATTTCACTGGGAAACAAAACAATCCAACAAAAAAAACGCATCATATATATAATCAGGACCCAGGTTTTTATTTCATCAGCAAGCTGGCCATCATTCTATAGTCCTTCAAAGATGTATTTGAGGGCTGCTTAGAAATGGAGTGTGACACATACACATTTTACTTCCAGGTGAATAAGGCTCTTCTGAAAGGTGCTGAGCCCAAGGCCCTGGACAGGGAAATTTCACTTATCGCCACATAATGATGACTTGGATAAGAGCAGAGCATATTATCAGTGCCTAACGGGTGTAATATGTAGGCTAAAGCCACTCAGAACCCACAGGATAGGCAGAAAAAAACAGATTAGAACAATGCTCTTCATGTCTGTTGAGCACCTTCAGCTGTCTGAGGAGATCATGAGGGGGTTCTGTCTCTAGGACTTGGGCCGCCTACAGAGTGGAATTAGGATCTGGGTTCAAACCAAGGTTTAGGTTCAAATCCTGGATCTTCCACTTTCCATCCATGCAACGACTGTGCAAATTACACAATCTCTCTGAGCTTTGCCCTTCACATGTTTAAATGTGGCAAAAAAGGCCTGCTTTGTAGGGGCATAGTGATACTGAAATGCATAAATTTCCTAGTTTAAAGTAGACAATCCATAGAGTTCCTCTTCCTTCTCAACAGCAAAGAGCTAACAAAGCATTCATCCAAAACTCTCAAGAAATTAAGTAATAACATCTTAGATGTATTCGGCAGGAAGCTTATCTGATACTTTACTCTCTCCCATTCCCTATTCCAGAAAAAATTAGTCAACTTCATGAGGATTATTGTACAATAATAATAACAACAACATCAATAAATGTGTATTGAATGCTTTAAGCTGTGCTGGGCCTTTTGCTAACTATTTCTATATTTTATTCCATTTAAACCTAACATCTGCCTAAGGAGGATGTACTCCAGTATTCCCATTTTTGGAGGAAGAAATAACCTAAGTTTACACTACTAATAACGGAGAAAGCTGAGACTTGAACCCAGTACTTTTTTTTTTTTTTTTTTTGAGATGGAATCTCACTCTATCGCCAGGCTGGAGTGCAGTGGCACAATCTCGGCTCACTGCAACCTCCACCTCCTGGGTTCAAGTGATTCTCCTGCCTCAGCCTCCCAAGTACCTGAGACTACAGGCGCCCACCACCATGCCCAGCTAATTTTTGTATTTTTAGTAGAGACAGGGTTTCACCATGTTGGCCAGGATAATCTCAATCTCTTGACCTCATGATCTACCCACATCGGCCTCCCAAAGTGCTGTGATTACAGGCGTGAGCCACCACGCCCAGCCTGAACCCAGCACTTCTGACTCCAGAGGCTACCTGCCTAATCACTAGGCTATGCTAGTCCATCATAATTAAAAATAAATGAGAGGAAATTCCAGGACCACTTTTCAGAAAAAACAAAATATGCAAGGGCACCTCTTCAAATCATTATGTAAATTTTCTTATGTGAAAACTAAACATTATTTCTTACTGTTTAAGTCCTAATTTTAACAGCTTTGATACCACAGGTTTTGTCACATCATCTTGATCAAAGTGAATTACCTACAGTTAATAGCTGCAAACTGATGTTGAGCTGCACTTGCTATATCACTTTTGAAAACACAGTCAACATATAAGTAGAACTTCTCAAGGAACAAGCCAGAAAAATACCTTTGTCTTGCATCTGTTCATTTTCATTGCCAAGTAAATAAATAATCATCTGCTCTAGTATAAGGTTTATCAACTGCCTGGATGCAACAAGAATGAGTTAAATTCCAAGCCAAACCATGTAATTAGTTGAGTCAGGTACACAAGGATAATCCAGACAGAAGTGGGCTTAATAAATGGCTTTTATTTTAATTTTCACTGACAGAGCCACTAACGAAATACATTCTCTACTCTCTTCCTCCTTCTTCAAGGAAATTCAGATATGCCTTTATCAGCATTAACTAGCTGCTATTTCACTATTAAAATTATCAAAACCAGGTATATCAGGCTTTGAAAATGAAGTTATGAATGTTTAATGCCTTTGTAATTAGAAGAAAACAAGACATTGGTGCCAATGCATTCATTTTATTCCCAATTACCAATTTTGTGGGGATGTATTTCTCCTCTTCTGACCAATGTCTCATATCTTACTGGCCAGTAGACAGCTCTCATTTTACCCAACTAGAAGTGTTTAGAAATGATGATATTAATTAGAAGCTAAAAACCAAATTATATACTTATCATATTGAATAAATATGAAGGTGTTTATGAATTGGTGTGTTCTTTGGAAGAAAATTAATTGTTTAGATGCATAATTCAATTAACAGGTATGAGTAATGGCATAGTATCTTCATTTTGTGGAATAGAAAAGCAATTGCACCCTGAAAGCTCTTGACACCATTTTTTAAATATTAAAATTCTCTCAGGCTATGAACAAGTATAAGGAAAATTTTAGGTGATAATCAATATTGAGCTTTCACAAATATGTGGCATTCGATTATGGTAAAAATATGGGAACTATTGCTCTGTCATTCTCAAAAAAGTTACCATTAAGTGGCTTGAATATTTTTAATTTTCACATTTAAACAATATGTTTCTTGGGATTTATGATCACTTTTTGCTACATAGGTATCTAAATCAAAGATGACCATGCCACTGCACTTGTTGCCAGGGACAGGCGGCCCCTTGGGATCACACTCAACATTGTCTATGACAGAGTTCCTCATTCTGCCCACCACTCCTATCCTGAACTCTTTGTTGTTACGTTCACACATTTTGCAGTTGCATACTCCTCATGTTGTTTGTGCTATGCTTTCTGCCTAGAGACTTTCCCACCTTTCTTCAGTTCACTATCTTTTAAGAGTCAGCTCCAGCTAAACTTCTCAAGTTGGGTAAGATGCTCTGTCCTGTGGTTCCATAGCACTTTGTGCATACTTCCATTATTGCACTTTTTATTTAGATGGCTTTCCAACTAGGGTGTGAACAATACCTGACTCACGCTGGACCAATCAGTCTCTTCTCTGAGAACCTGGAATCAGGACACAGAAATTCTATTTCATCTTTTTTAGAGACTCAATCTGAGAGGCCTTGAAAAGCTGGGATGGAGGTGACTTTACACTTACCAATTTAGGGAAAGCCAGTCTTTGAAGAGGGGAGGAAAGAAAGACAACATGGACTAAAAGCAAAGAGAAGCCACAGTCCATCAAAAGGTGAAAAACAAATCAGTTTGACATTACTATTTGCTGTGTTCAGAAACTAAGATTATATACCCACCCTTGGTTTCTATGAGATTCTCCTGTTTCCTTCCAATAAAGTCTTCATTTTTGCTTAAACAGTTTTGAAAGCATTTTATTTTCTAACAAGCAAATGATTACTAAGACATTATAAGCAGAAAGTGATAAATATATGTCTGATAACTAAATGAATCAATGAGTGCCTTTTAATGTATTAGGTCAGCAGGAGGAGTCCCTCTCAGCTCCCAATACCCAGCAGATCTTCAAACTTTTTACCTGCCATTGAACGAATAACAATTTTTAAAAGAAGAAAAATGGCAGTGCAGTTTCATAGAATCTGGATATAGAAGGAACTTGGAAGGTATGCAAAAACATTACCTCCTCCAACTGCCACCACTTTAGAGTTCATAATCATCCTATATCATAATAGAGCTCAGGTTTCCTAGCAAACAAGCCATTTTTTTTTCTCTTCCACCTAATGTGCTTTCTTATACTTTTGACTGAACCACAACCAGGGAAACATCTGTGCTGCGATATTAGCTTTCAGATGAGTAAAACCAGAGTGGTTCTACAACCTGCAGTTTTTGAAAAAGTAGCAATGAGTGTCAATGATAAGAGTTCAGATCTTAAAGACATTCTATTCTCTTTGTTTTCAACCATGATAACACCAGTACCTTCTGATTAAAGGATCAGAGGGCCTCTCAATCTCAGCCTTTCTAAGTGTTTCTCCATCATTTAGAATTACAAATTAGAGTGGTTTAATGAAGCATTATTGGAGTGAAATAAGCTGCATTGGGGATAAGATTTTGCATAAAAACAAAATTACAGTTATCAAATTAAATCCTATGAAACTACTAATGACACTCTTCACAGACTTAGAAAAAATGATTTTAAAATTCATATAGAAATAAAAAATGTCTGATATAGCCAAGGCAATCCTAAGCAAAAAGAACAAAGCTAGAGGTATCACGTTACTGACTTCAAACTATACTACATTGAATACGTGTGGCTACAGTAACTGAAACAGCAGGGTACTGGAACAAAAACAGACACATAGACCAGTGAAGCAGAATACAGAGCCCAGAAGTAATTCTGCACACCTATAACCATCTGATCTTAGATAAAATTGACAATAAAAAACAGGCAATGGCAAAAGCACTCCCTATTCAATAAATGGTACTGGGATATCTGGCTAACTGTATGCAGAAGTTTGAAACTAGACCCCTTCCTTACACCATAGACAAAAATTGACTCAAAGTGGATTAAAGACAAATCTAAAACCCAAACTATAAAAACCCTGGAAGATAACCTAGGAAATACCATTCTGGACATAGGACCTGGCAAAGACTTCATGATGAAGATGCCAAAAGCAATTGTAACAAAAATCAAAATTGACAAATGGGACCTAATTAAACTAAAGAGCTTCTGCACAGAAATATAAACTATCAGCAAAGTAAACATCCTAGAGAATGGGAGAAAATATTTGCAAACTATGCATCTGACAAAGGTCTAATATCCAGCATCTATAAAGAACTTACACAAATTATCAGCAAAAAAACCACAACCCCATTAAAAAGTGGATAAAAGACATGAATGGACACTTTTCGAAAGAAGACATACAGGAGGTCAACGAGCATATGGAAAAATGCTTAACATCACTCATGATTAAAGAAATGCAAATGAAAACCACAATGAGATACCATCTTACACCAATCAAAATGGCCATTATTAAAAAGTCAAAAAATAATAGATGCTGGCAAGATTGTGGTCAAAAGGGAACACTTGTATACTGCTGGCAGGAATGTAAATTAGTTCAGCCATTGTGGAAAGCAGTTTGGCAATTTCTCAAAGAGTTTAACAGAATTACCATTTGACCCATCAATCCCATTATTGGATATATACCCAAAGGAGTATAAATCGTTCCACCATAAAGACAAATGAATGCATATGTTCATTGCAGCACTATTCACAATAGCAAAGACAGAATCAGCTCAAGTGTTCATCAATGGTAGACTGGATAAAGAAAATGTGATATGTATACACCACGGAATACTATGCAGCCATAAAAAAGAATGAAATCATTCACTTTGTTTGTAGCAAAATGGTTGAAGCTTGAGGCCATTACTCCAAGCAAAATAATGCAGGAACAGAAAACCAAACACCACATATTCTCACTTACAAGTGGGAGCTAAACACTGAGTAGATATGGACACTAAGAAGGGAACAACTGTTACCAGGGTCTACTCGAGGGTGGAGGGTAAGAGGAGGATAAGGATCAAAAACTCCTATCAGGTACTATCCTTATTGCCTGGGTGATTAAATGATCTGTACACCAAATCCACATGACACACAATCTACATATATAACAAACCTGAATATGCACCCCCTGAACCTAAAAGTATTTTTAAAAAACATTTTAAGCCAAAAATATATACATTCTTCATACTTGTTCCTCATGCAGATCACATCACAATTTCTTTCACAGTCACAAATAAAAATTACTTAAAGGTAAATGCAAAGCAAAAAATAAAGATCTATGATAAAGAATTAACTCAGTTACATAAAAAATCTATGATAAAGAATGTAACTCAGTTACATAAAGCTCTATGATCAATAACTAAAATGCATTGATTATTCATTAGGTTCAGAAAGATGCCTGATCCTAACCTAATACTGACATTATCCTTCCACTCACCCAACTCTAAATGGTTGTTTTTGATTTGTTTTGCTTCTTTTTCAAATTGTGATAAATTAATTGCCTCCATCTCCTAGAAATCCAGATTTATGTTCTCTTTAAATATTTTACCAGTACTTTGGAGGTTAAATTTTTAAGGGCAAATATTTAATGTGGGTCTCCCCATGCAGACACCTGCTTAGAATGATTTCAAAATAAATGTGCATTTTATAGATTATATATAAATAAAGATAACTATGACTTGCATAATGTAAACAGTATTAGTATTTGTAAATTCTAGCTATAAAAATATCTTCCTATGTCAAAATAAGGTTCATCTACCTAAAAATGGGTAAACTATGTCTTTGTTGATTTCTTGCATTTCAACTTAGTGATTTGTTTATTTAACTAATGCTGTTTTATTCAGCAGAGACTTTAGAGATGTCAAACAGGGTATTTTTTTCAAGCTGTTAGTCATAGAAAAATAAAGAATAAACACAAGCAGGTATTTTCAATCAATTCTCATCTGTTGAATAATTACAACCTTCTGTGAGGAGTTAGCATTAGCATAAGCTTCCCATGCACATTCTAAACACTGGACTTTATAACATTACCCCAGAATACTTTTCTTTTCATTATCTATTTCTTTATACTCTGTGTTTTCCCTTTCAAAGGTAAAAGCTCATAGAAAGAGTAAAATATCTTATATCATAAACATGTCAAACCAAGATTATATTATTTTCCCTACTTAATTCAATAAGTAGAGAAAGAGGAAACATTGTAGAAACAAAATGGTTCTTAACAACGATTCTTCAACGTTGATTTGACACAAAACAAACATGGGGAAATCCTAGCACTACCGCTTATAAGCTGATTTTATGTACCAGGTTGTTTGTTTTAATTCTTTTTTTTTTTTTTTTTTTTTGGACGGAGTCTTGCTCTGTCACCAGGCTGGAGTGCAGGTGCACGATCTCGGCTCAATGCAACCTCCTCTTCCCAGATTCAAGCGATTCTCCTGCCTCAGCCTCCAGAGTAGCTGGACTACAGGTGTCAGGGGCACATGGCAACATATTCAAGCTTATGTACATGACATTTGAGTTCGGGGCATGGAAAAATACTGAGGCACTGTGTGTATGTTATTTGTGCATGAGAATGTAACTCCTTGACCCTGAAAACAGGACAAGAGTGGAGTGTGTGATAAGGAACGCTGAAAACAGCCTCCTGAGAATGAGGTTTGAGCGCTTTTACGAGGCCATAGGTGTCTCAGGACCTGACCTCAAAAAGCCATCTAGCGGATGTTTGTAGTTTAACAAGTTCTTTCAATAAATACTTGACAGAAGGATGGATTCTGTGGTGGCACTCTCTCAGAAGAGCTGTCCCCTCCCCACTCAGCTGGAATTGTCTGAGAACTCATTCTTGGCGTTCTCTGCAAGCTATAAGCTTTGCAACAGGTGCGCGCCACCAAGCCCAGCTAATTTTTGTATTTTTAGTAGAGTTTCACCATGTTGGCCAAGATGGTCTTGATCTCTTGACCTTGTGATCCGCCCGCCTCGGCCTCCCAAAGTGCTGGGATTTCAGGCGTGAGCCACCGCCAGTGGCCGGCCAATCCTTTTTACATACTACTTCATTTATTCCTCACAACAACCCTAAGGTGTAGGTACTAAAATTTTTGGCATTGCACACGTGAGGAACTTGACACACAAAAAGTTTAAATGATTCTCCCTAGATCATGTTTCTGGTAAATGGTGGTGCAGAATAAAAACCCAGGCATTCAGGCGTGAATGAGTCCATGCTCTCAAACACTGAATACCGCCTACTTCATAGGCTTTTGTTAAAAAAAAAAAAAAGAAAAAAAAATTTAAATACAGTTGACTGTTGGATGACTTGGATTTGAACTGCGTGGGTCCACTTCTAGGTAAATTTTCTTTTACCTCTGCTACCCGGACACAGCAAGACCAATCCCTCCTATCCCTTCTCCTCCACAGCCTACTCAGCATGAAGATGATGAGAATGAAGACCTTTATGATGATCCATTTACACTTAATGCATAGTAAATATATTTTCTCTTCCTTATGATTTTCTTAATAGCATTTTCTTTTCTCTAGCTTATTTTAATGTAAGAATACAGTTTGGGAGGCCGAGGCTGGTGGATCACGAGGTCAGGAGATCGAGACCATCCTGGTTAACACGGTGAAACCCTGTCTCTACTAAAAATACAAAAAATTAGCCAGGTGTGGTGGCACACGCCTGTAGTCCCAGTTACTCGGGAGGTTGAGGCAGGAGAATCGCTTGAACCTGGGAGGCAGAGGTTGCAGTGAGCCGAGATTGTGCCACTACACTCAAGCATGGGTGACAGAGTGAGAAAAAAAAAAAGAATACTGTATGTATTAATAATACATATACAAAATATGTGTTCAGTATGGCTTCTGGCCATTAGTAGGCTATTAGTAGCTAAGTTTTTGGAAAGTCAAAAGTTATACATGGATTTCCAACCATGCAGGGGGTGGGGATCATCTCCCCTAATCCCTGTGTTGTTTAACGATCGATTGCATATGTTAAACAATCAGCATAGCTTCTGACCTTTAGTAAGTACCCAGTCCAGGGTAGTTATGGTGGCCACCGTCATGGTTATAGGTTGATAATTATGATAGTTAATCACAATTCTTGTTACTGGATTACAAACTAATTTTTATATTTTAATTCGCTTTTATATCCACAATCTCATTTTCTGTCTGCTGAAAAAGAATGGCCCTCTTTGTGATTTTTAAAATTGCTTCAAGCATGTGTTATTTTTGGCATTCTGTCACAAGCCCTCTACAAATATAATATCAGTCAATGGTCAAAGAATGTGATACATAATTTTTAAGAAAACAAAAACTGTAGAGTTTTTTAACAAAGTAATTTGGTACTATAGGCATTTGCTGCCTGATCTAGAATTACATTAGCATGAGAAAACTATCACTATATCTCCTGAGTTTTTACAATATAAAGATAAACTGAGATTATTTTCATTACAGTCACAACTTTTCAGCATACTACATTAGAAAGAAGAAATAAGGAGAGGAGAAAGAGACAGACAGACAGACACACACAGACAGAAGCTGAACAAATTATAAAATACAAATCTCTAAGTTGTATTTTGCAAAAAGGTAGAAAGATTTTTGATGATCTTAAAATCACAGCTTTTAATCAAAGATTAAGAATTCCAAATAGTAAGCATTTAGCTGATGGAAAAGCTTGAAGCGTAGGTTACTCCACAAAGAAGCTATTCTGACACTGATGAAATTGCATGTCAACCAGAAATGCCTACATTCCAGTAGTATCTCTTTAAATATATGCTCCTGAACATATATTAGAAAGTGGATGCCTAACTTTAATCATTTTCAACTGAGAACAGAATGAATTTATCTTCCTTTGTCTGAAAATCATATGGGTGTTGAAAATTGCCAAGCTTCAATATCCAGTCAACATTAAGCAAAATGAACCAAGGATAGCAATAGCTAGAACCATTACCAAATGCTACCCATAAATTAAAGAAATGTTGTCTCCTTAGCATGTGATTTACTTGGAAAGCTTTTAGTGCTAATTTCTAATGGATGCCAAAAGTTATTTTATTGAGACGAAGCATTTTAGTGTTGAGTTCAGTTCCAGTACCAATGCTGTTTCCAATAAGCTTTCAGATGAACACTTCAACATAATTCCTGTTTTGCTACATATTCTGGGGACTCAATTAGAAAGAATGACAACATTCCTGCATTCTCTGGATTTCACTATAAAGGAATTTGAGAGTCCAGCTTGGGTAAATCAACCAACCCAAAAAGCACTGGAAGCAGGGCTCTTTAAGACTAAACCCTTTCCCCTGATGATAATCGTCAAAGGAAGTTATCTCATAACTAAGAAAGCTAGCAATACCAATATAATACAGGTTTTATAAATTTCCTAATGGCTTTCTTCATTTTTGTTTCTCCTATGATACAATAAGGTCATCTGGGCATGATCCTAGTTAAATATTTCCTTCCCTACTTAAGAACATTTTCCTGGGCATCAGTAATCACCCAAACCCCTCCCCAGCGCCTTCACATACACTAAACATGTCTCCGCCTCAAGGTACTAAGTGCTAACAAAGTCTATAGGCAGCTCATTTTATTTAAAATAATTAAATTATAAATAATATAAAAATTTTGTACACTGGATAAAGACTGGAAAAGCCTATAGAAAGATCTGAATTATTGAATGAAAATGATAAGATATATTATGAAAGGTGTTCTGAAAAATTATATATATGTATATACACACATACATTTTTCAAGACAAGGTCTTGCTCTGTTGCCCAGACTGGAGTGCAGTGGCAGGATCATAGCTGCTGTAGCCTTGAACTCCTAGGCTCACGCAATCCTCTGGCCTCAGCCTCCCTCTCAAGTAGCTAGAAATACAGGCAAGGGTGCCCACCTAATTTTTAAAAATTTTTTTTGTAGATACGGGTCTTGCTACATTGTTCAGGCTGGTCTTGAACTCTTGGCCTCAAGTGATCCTCCCACCTCAGCCTCCCAAAGTGTTGAGATTACAGGTGTGAGCCACTCTACCTGGCGGAATACATGATTTTTAAAATAATCAGGTTATACTGACATCCAAAGAGTGACAGCTTTTCTGAGAATAAATGGACATACATATTTGCCTATGGCACAGTAATGGAGGAAGAGACCACTATTATAAAAGAAAGAAAAAAATAGATGAAATTGTAACAAATTTTCATATGCTGATTGTGGACTAGTCTGTCAGTTGGTAATCTCTGGGAGACCCAGAATTAAAGCGCCTGTTCATTCATCAAGTTTTTTCCAGAAGTCTCTATCACATGCTCACAAGATGGGGCAGAGATGGTGCCTGGAATAGCCCTCTCTCAATGGGACATGGACACTAAACCCCATCTTACATGAAGTAAAATCAGGAAGACAGTGGGTATAGAGTAGGAAACTCTCCTGCCCCTGGTCTCTAACAAAGGTACACTGGGGTGGAGGGAGGGCTAGCAGCAAAAGCCACCTGCAGCTGAGTGAGGGATGGGAAAGCTGCTTGAACCCAGCGTCCCAAGCCAATATTAATAAAAAGAGAGGCCTGCCACCACTGGGAGAGTGGTCGGACACTTGCCCTCACTCAAGAGCTCCTTCCAAGACCCCTCATTCATAGAGAGCAGACTACGGCTGTAGAGGATGAGGAGGGTGTGTAGTGAGGTCAGAAGTCTGAAGCACTAAGAAAGTACACCTCCTAAAAGCATGCGAGCAAGGCCTTCCTAAGACTGAGGCTAAATAGAGAGAACCAAGAGAACCTTGAATCTCCACCAAATAACATGCAACAGCAATCCACTGCTTGGGATGGAACAAGACCGTGGGAAA